>NC_000020.11:1733001-1884516 GCF_000001405.40 Homo sapiens
ATTGGTGAGATGTTCCTTGGGCTGCTTGGTCTGAGGACCCGAGGTCATAGGTGGATCTTTCTCACAGAGCAAAGAGCAGGAGGACAGGGGATTGATCTCCCAAGGGAGGTCCCCCGATCAGAGTCATGGCACCAAATGTCACGTGCATCCATGTGAAGAGACCACTAAACAGTCTTTGTGTGAGCAATAAAGCTTTTTAATCACCTGGGTGCAGGCAGGCTGAGTCTGAAAAGAGAGTCAGCAAAGGGAGATAGGGGTGAGGCCATTTCATAGGATTTGGGTGGGTAGTGGAAAATTACAGTCAAAGGGTGTTTTTCTCTTGTGGGCAGGGGTGGGGGTCACAAGGTGCTCAGTGCGGGAGCTTCTGAGGCAGGAGAAGGAATTTCACAAGGTTAATCACCCAGTTAAGGTGGGGCAGGAATAAATCACAATGGTGGAGTGTCATCAATTAAGGCAGGCACCGGCCATTTTCACTTCTTTTGTGATTCTTCACTTGCTTCAGGCCATCTGGATGTATTCATGCAGGTCACAGGGGATATGATGGCTGAGCTTGGGCTGGAGGCCTGACAGAAAGCATAATGCTACCCTTAGATTACATAATGATTTAAAAACAATACACAGCAGGAAAAAGTAAAGGGTAATTAAATAAATTCTGGGTACATCCGTATTTTAATATAAATTGCACAAAAACCTTTTAATCTGAGGAATGCAATGCCCCTTTCAATTATCAGGCCCAGAGAGGCACTGGAATGAGAAAGCAGTCATGTCCCACTTCCCTCCTTCAGCTAAGTAACCATCTCTTGAGGCTGCTTGCCATGTGGACTCTAGACTGACTGATGCCCCAGGTAGATACAATTTAATGTAACAATGCCATATGTGGACACTATAAGTCATATTCTATAGTTAAATAACGTATAAAGGTTACTAATCAATGTTATTTTTGTAAAGCAATGAGAATTCCTGACAAAAACTTTTGTAATCATCCCCTCCCCTGGTTTGTCCTTTTTCCTTAAAAGCTCGAGTCTGTTCTTTATTCTCCAAAGTGACTTGGAGGTGTTTCCTGGGTTACAGTCTTCAAATTTGGCCCAAATAGACCTTCTACTTATATTAATTTTATCTAAGCTTCTTCTCTTAGGTAGACATGTCCGCTGTAGTCAGCAGGATTCAGAGGGACCTCCCAACACTGAACATGCTGCCTTCCCTCTTGGGCTCAGTGCTTGGTACCAGCATTAATGCACTATGTTCCTCAGACTCCAGAGGTTTCACAGGGTGTAAAAGGGTGAGTCCTCCTGAATTCAGATCTCCCTTTCTTTTTTGGTGAGGTTTTGCCTTTATTTGGGCTGTTCTCTCCAACTGCCTCTCTTTAGAATGGAGGTTTTGATCTCTGTCTATGGGCAGGAGATTCTGGTTTCAGGAATAAAACAAAAGATAACTGTCTCCTCTGCTGCTATTTCACAGCAGGTGTTCCAGGTCGTAGCATTGGCAGTCTACCATAAGTAGTTTCATTTCTTTTGGCCTAAAATTACATAGCATGCTGTTAAAATTGTAGCTGTTCCCTATTGCATGAAATTCAGACTTGTATTTTCATTTGTGACCAATTCCTGTTTGTTCAAAACCAAAGGAAACATGAGGATGAGTTCAATTCTCTCGAAGAGAATTGCATGAACAGCTGTTACATGCAGGAGAGGGACTCATGACTCACTGGTGACACTTTGTGGAGTGATGCTCACAAAGCAACACACTTTGACCTGATACACTGTCCTAGCCTTGGACACTTTTGAAAAGGAAATTCTAAAATTACGGGAAACTGCTGGACGAAACTGAGCTTTCCTTTAAGGGGCAACCATCCTTAGGAAGACCAGCTGCATTTATGTATAATACTTACTGTATTAGTCTGTTCTCACACTGCTATAAAGAAATACCTGACACTGGGTAATTTATAAAGAAAAGAGGTTTAGTCAGCTAGGTGCAGTGGCTCATGTCTGTAATCCCAGCACTTTGGGAGGCAGAGGCAGGGGGATCACCTGATATCAGGAGTTCAAGACCAGCCTGACCAACACGGTGAAATCCCGTCTCTACTAAAAATATAAAAATTAGCAAAGCATGGTGACACGTGCCAGTAATCCCAGCTACTCAGGAGGCCAAGGCAGGAGAAATGCTTACACCCGGGAGGGAGAGGTTACAGGGAGCTGAGATCGCGCCACTGCATTCCAGCCTGGGTGACAGAGCAAGACTCCATCTCAAAAAAAAAAAAGAAAAAAAAAAGAAAAGAAAAGAAAAAGAAAAAGAAAAAAAAAGAGAGGCTGGATAGGTGGAGCACAGGGATTTTTAGGACAGTGAAACTATTCTGTACAATACATCAATGGTGGATGCATGTCATTATACATCCATAGAGTGTACAACACCAAGTGGGTATATGGGAACTCCCTGTACTTTCTGTTCAATTTTTCTGTGAACCTAAAACTTCTCTAAAAAGTAGTTTAGTAGGTTTTTTTTAGTGTGTGTGTGTGTGTGTGTGTGTAAGTCCCTCTAGTAACCAGGCATGACGGCATCCACCTGTAGTCCCAGCTACCAGGGAGGCTGAGGTGGGAGGATCACTTGAGCTCAGAAGTTCAAGGACAGCGTGGACAATACAGCCAGACCCTGTCTCTTGAAAAAACAAAGTCTTGGCACTTCCAGAGCCCGGTGCTGCCGGCCGCGGGAGATGAGTGCCCAGTAGGGAGACTTCTGTGAAGCGTCCCGGTCCTGCGACGTCGCCCACCCGGGAGGAGGCGGCTTCTCGGTTCCTCAAGGCCCCCGGGAGTCCGAACCTCGGCAGGAGGCTGGCAGCGGCGTGGGGACCCAGAGGGCAGGGGCGGTCTGCGGGGCGGCCCTGGGACTCCCTCCCTCCCTCTCCTGCTGCGGCCGCCCTGGGATATGGGGGCCGTGGATGTGGGTCGCCGCTGGAGGTGTGGCCCTGGGTGGTCCATCCGGCCGCAGAGGCCCGTCCCCCGTTCACCCAGGCCGGTACCCTATGGAGCACCTATTACGTGCAGTGCTATTCTGGGTTCCTGGGATGCCACCGAGTGAGACGGACACACAGACTCTCAGCCCAGAGGGGAACCGTCCCTATTAATCAGGTATGATCCTCCCTCTGCCCGTCGCCTAATAACCCCATTGTTTCCAGACAACAGATCAACAAGTGCTTCACGTGCAGGCGGCCTGGCATGCCTGGCATCTTCCAGCACACTCCCCTTGGCTCTGCTACAGCCTTTTTGGCCTTTTACTTCTTGAACGTGTGGTTCCTTGGGTAACGATGCCCTCTTTGGTCTGGTTAATTCCCCTCCTTAGGATTTCTTGTATTAGGGCAATCCTTGCTAGTTTCTGTGTACAATTTGCCTTTTCATGGGTTTTTCGGACTACCACATACTCGTTCCTAGCACTTAGCACAGGCGTAACCTTACAGTTATTTGAGTGCAAGTTACACAAGAACAAGAATTTTTCCGCCTAATTTCTAGTACCAACCACATTGCTTGGCACAGAGTATGGTTCAATAAATATTTGTTGGCTGAGAGGCAAATGTATTTGTAATTATCATGTGAGATACCTGCTGTAAAAAAAAGGGAATACCTGCCTGGCAGATGTGACTTAATTTGCATCCTCCAGGATATGGTTTTTTGTTTTTTTTTTTTTTGTTTTTTTTTTACAGAGTCTTGCTCTGTTGTCCAGGCTGGAGTGCAGTGGCGCGATCTCCCATCTGCACTTACTGCAATGTCTGCCTTCCAGGTTCAAGCGATTCTCCTGCCTCGACCTCCCAAGTAGCTGGGACTACAGGCGCATGCCACCATGCCCAGCTAATTTTTTGTATTTTTAGTAGAGACGGGGTTTCACCGTGTTAGCCAGGATGCTCTCAATCTCCTGACCTCATGATCTGCCTGCCTCAACCTCCCTAAGCGCTGGGATTACAGGCGTGAGCCACCGCACCCGGCCAGGATATGGCTTTTAAGTTGAGATCTTCAGGGTGAGCAGAGCAGAAGTCTCCCTTGAAGCCAGGAGCTCAAGCATAGCCTGGGCAAAATAGTGAGACTCTGTTTCTCCAAAAACATATGAAGTTTAGCAGGGCATACTGGCATGCACCTGTAGTCCCAGCTACTTGGGAGGCTGAGGTGGGAGGATCCTTGAGCCTAGGAGTTTGAGGCTGTAGTGAGCAATGATTATGCCACTGCATTCCAGCCTGGAAGACAGAGTGAGACCTGACCATATACGTGTACATATATGATTATTACACAATTGGAGATTGAAATATAATCTATAATCAGTTTTTCATTTACTGTATTTGAATATTTGCCTATGTTGCAAAATATTCCACAATATGGTTTTTAATGTTTAGTTTATTTTTTTCCAATTTATACCAAACTGTTGGATATAAAGTTTGCATTTTTTGATATTATAAATAACTCTGCAGTGAATATGAGCTGAAATCTCAGATAAATTCAAGTTGAGATTTTTAAAATTAAAAATTGGTTTTAAAATTTGGATACTTAAACAGTATATATGTACATGGTAAGAAAAAGAGTTACCTAAGATTCTATGGTTAAAAAAGCTTCCTTGTCTAGGTGCGGTGGTTCATGCCTGTAATCGTAACACTTTCGGAGGCTGAGGCAGGCAGATCACCTGAGGTCAGGAGTTTGAGACCAGCCTGGCCAACATGGTGAAACCCTGTCTCTACCAAAAATATAAAAATTAGCTGGGCATGGTGGCACACACCTGTAATCCCAGCTACTCAGGAGGCTGAGGCAGGAGAATTGCTTGAACCTGGGAGGTGGAGGTTGCAGTGAGCCAAAATCACACCACTGCACTCCAGCCTGGGCAACAGTGAGATTCCGTCTCAAAAAAAAACTTCCATCTCTACTTAGACCCTCAGCCCCACTCTCCAGAGAAGACCACTGGTACATTTTCTAAATGAGAGAAAATCATATGCACTGTTCTGAACCTGCCATCTGATACTTAATAGAACAGATCGAAACATTCTTAGGTAGGTATTTCTGTGAAGGAAAAGTTGCAACAGTTTACACTCCCGCCAGCAGATAATGGGAGTCTGGTTCCTTGTACTTTCTCTAGCTTGAGGAATTATCAATTATCACTTTTTAAGTTCTCAATCTGATGGATAGAAAATTACATTTTATTGTTTTAATTTGCCATCTTTATTTACTAGAGAGTAAGAAGCTTTTTATATGCTTATTGGTTATTGATAGGTGAATTGATCACTTGCTATGGTTTGGATGTTTGTCCACTACAAACCTCATGTTAAAATTTGATCCCTGATATGGTTTAGCTGTGTCCCCACCCAAATCTCATCTTGAATTGTAATAGCCTCCACATGTCAAGGGTGGGGCCAGGTGGAGATAATTGAATCATGGGGCCAGTTTCCCCATACTGTTCTTGTGGTAGTGAATAAGTCTCACGAGATCCAATGGGTTTATAAATAAGAGTTCCCCTGCACAAGCTCTCTTGCCTGCCGTCATGTAAGACATGATTTTGTGCCTCCTTTGCCTTCTGCCATGATTGTGAGGCCTCCCCACTCATGTGGAACTGTGAGTCCATTAAACCTCCTTTCCTTTATAAATTACCTAGTCTTGGATATGTCTTTATTAGCAGTGTGAGAACAGACTAATACAATCCCCAATATTGGAGGTAGGGCCTAATGGCAGGTATTTGGATCATGAGGGCAGATCCCTCATGAATAGATTAATACCCTCCCTGCAGAGGGTGGGGGGGTGGGCACAGTGAGTGATTTCTTATGATTAAGAGCTGGTGGTTCAAAAGAGCATGGCATCTCCCCTGTTCTCTCTGTTGCTTCCTCTCTTGCCATGTGATCTCTGCACATGCCAGCTCCCCTTCCCCTTCTGCCTTGAGTGGAAGCAACCTGAGGCCCTCACCAGATGCAGATGCCTAGCCTTGATCTTTCCAGCCATCAGTCATGAGCAAAATCAACCTCTTTTCTTTTTAAATTAAAAAAAGTAAAAACAAAGTCTCTCTAGTAATATAAAATGATAAAACATAAAATTGAATCAGATGTAAAATGTGTTGTGGACCCCTGACGTTTTTGCAACACAATCAAAACCCATTTCCTCTCTCTTGCCAGCAGAGGAAATAGGTTTAGTTAAACAAGGATGTGTTTTTGGAGGGGTCATTTGGAAAGGGAAGAGAAATGATGGGAGGAGAAAACGATAATCAAACCTCTGTGGGAGAGAGGGTCACACAGATTTTAACACCTTTAACATGGGAAGTCACCATTCCCATCTACTCCCCATGTAGGCAGAGAAATGGGGAGAGGCAGAGGAGAAATGCCCAGAACAGGAGGGAATGGCCAGGAGTTGGGCAAGTCAGTTGGCCCCTCCTGGGCTCAGTTTTATCCCCTGTAAACCAGAAGTAGCAATACTTACCTTACACTCTTTTGTGGAGATTAAATAAAATAAAGTGTTTGCTATGCAATGATGCTGAATAAATAGTACTAATTGTCATACCTGATGCTTGGCAAACAACAGGAAATTGCTAAGTGTTGAATGAATCTTACTGTATGTTGTCAGTCACTGACCTCTGGCTTTTCCAGGTGCTGTGGACCTACTGACACTTTTTCTTATCTGGTATTGTAGAATTTCTCTTGCCTCTCCAAGGCCAACTCCTCCCTCTGGGATTCCTTTGGTCCCTCCCACTTGTTAATCCACAGAGCTGGCATCCTTATCATCAGTTATGGAAAGCCTATGGCTTGGTTTCACTGGAACAGTCTCGGGTTATACCTGTTGTCCTCATGTTTTGCTTGTTTGGGTATTTGTCCTTTTTGTTGTTGTTTTAACAAAGTATTATTGTCAATAGTTGCATTAACTGAAGCTGGGGTGGATTTAGTAAACTTCCACTTTGTACTTGCAGCTTCTGCCGTGCTCTCACCTTATAGGCTGTGAGATACATGTGTAGTGAGCGAAGTGCTTTTTTTTAGCACTTGGTCACAGTGTAACTAACCCCTTCTTTTTGAGAACAGCATGAGGGGCACTCAATGATAAAGCAAAGTGCAGTCTCATGCCAGCAGCCTAGAAAAAGCTTGATTAGATGGAAATCAGAAGACACAGATTGCCAATCACAAGAACCATCAGCATCTACTTCAAAAGTTAATAGCTACATTAAGAAGATGGCGCTAAAAGATAATGATTAAAATGAGGGCTACAAAAGGTGAGCCTACATATTACTCTATGAAGCATGACTTCATTTAGATCAAAAGACTGTTCTTCTAAGTTAATTATACTCATTACTTTCTCCAAGTTTTTTTATGCACACATGAAAAGTGAAGCAATGGTTGTTAATGTGTTGGCTCCATTAAGAGAAGTCAGCAGTTAAATGATGCCATCAGAGGATTCAAATAGAAAATCATGATTTAATGTTTTTCATTTAATTCATGAAATCAAAAGTCTTTTGGAAATTCACTCTTGTAGTTTAAGCATTTGACATTATTGTGATTAATATTGAAATCAGTTGACAAGTGCAACACAGAGGTAAAATTACTTATATTGGTAAAAATAATGTTCTTACTAAATTAAGAAACCTGTAACTAGAAATGCACTTGGACTTGGTTGTTGCATGTGCCTAATTTCTAACCATATCCAAATAAGCTGCACCATTCCACCATTTGAAATAGAAGGTACAGTTGTCATAATTTATAAAGATTTTATACAGTTAAATTAACTGAACTAAAAAAGTTTATGACAAAGCTGAACACAAAAGGATATTTCCTAATGGCAGTACATGTTCTTTGTCCCCTTTTCCAATTACAAAACAACTTCACATTTTATGTTATAAAATATAGTCATTTGTTGAGAACATAAAGCCTAGGAGAATGGGTATTTTGATACAAACTCTGAACAAAACACCACCCTTGCTACTTCCTGCACAATGATTATGTTTAACGAATAGCTCATCATCCTGTACACAAGCTATTTCATTCGTGAGAACTGAAGCTGCTTAAAAACATTGATAACTTTCCAATTCCCCAGAAGAGGTCTTATATATAGGCAATGTATAGGATATTTATTAAATTGGTGTTGTATACACTTAATATTACATATCCAAGAAAAGAAATTTGAGAAAGAGAAATTAAAATGCACTTGGGAGTTTTTTTTTCTTGCAACCGGTGTTAAATTCAGCTCTTTACCTACAGAATGCAAAACAAGACACCCAAGAAGAACCCCACTGTTGTTAAGTTACAAATTGCTGTACGTAAGAAACAGTTTATTTGAAGGAAAATGCACTTATTTTTAAGTTAGTATCACACCATGTATAACCTAAAGTTAGAAAAGTCACTTATTTGAAGGCACAATTCTATTCCAGATTATAGACAAATCAAAATCTTACAGACCTCACCTGGCAAGAAAAATGAGGTCACTGGTCTATCCTGTGGCTCCAGAGTCTACGTCACGGTCACACCCAGGCCTCCAGGAGCAGTATCTAGTTCTGTAAGACAGAAAGTTCTATTTCTTTCTTTCCTCTTTCTTTCTCTGTCTTTCTCTTTCCTTCCCTTCTCTCTTTCCTTCTTTCTTTTTCCCTTCCTTCCTTTTCTTTCTCTTTCTTTCCCTCCCTCCCTCTTTCTCTTTTTCTTTCTGTCTTTTCTTCTTTCTTTTTCTTTCTTTCTTTCTCTCTTCCTTTCTTTCTTTCCTTCTTTCTCCTTCCTTCCTTCCTTCCCTCCTTTCTTCTTTTTCCCTCCCTCCCTCCCTTCCTTTCTTCCTGCTATATTCACCATGTGAAAAGATTCTGCAGCCTCCTCCGGGCTTTCTTCATTCTACCCGAAAAGGCAAATGACTTCACTTTCTAAAGTAGCATCAGCAACCGCTCTTTTGTGGCAGGAGGAACAGGAATTGAAGACCCAGCAGAAAGCAGAAGTCAACTGCTATAGACAGCCTTGACATAGCTTAAGCTAAAGGCTTTGAACGAGAATAAAACAAAATACATAAGCCCTCCAACATGTCAGAAGAAGATAGATTTTTAGAAAAAATAAGGTTGCCCTTTCCTTTCATCTGCTTAAGGAAAAAAAAAAAGAGAGCGGGTGGGGGCCGTGACTGGCTTCATCAAGCCAGTAAAAGACAATGAAGGTCCATAAAATACTCTATGGTATTACTTTACTTCAAAATAGTAGTTTTCCTCAGGCCACTGAAAAAATGGTAGCAACCTATAAATGTATACATTTGAAAAAAAAAGTTTAGGTCCAAGGTAATGACTAATCTCTGAGTCTGTGCCTATAAAGAGAAACAATGATTCCTCGACACATACACTCTCCCAAGACTAAACCAGGAAGAAGTTGAATCTCTGAATAGACCAATAACAGGAGCTGAAATTGTGGCAATAATCAATAGTTTACCAACCAAAAAGAGTCCAGGACCAGATGGATTCACAGCCGAATTCTACCAGAGGTACAAGGAGGAACTGGTACCATTCCTTCTAAAACTATTCCAATCAATAGAAAAAGAGGGAATCCTCCCTAACTCATTTTATGAGGCCAGCATCATTCTGATACCAAAGCCGGGCAGAGACACAACCAAAAAAGAGAATTTTAGACCAATATCCTTGATGAACATTGATGCAAAAATCCTCAATAAAATACTGGCAAACCAAATCCAGCAGCACATCAAAAAGCTTATCCACCATGATCAAGTGGGCTTCATCCCTGGGATGCAAGGCTGGTTCAATATACGCAAATCAATAAATGTAATCCAGCATATAAACAGAGCCAAAGACAAAAACCACATGATTATCTCAATAGATGCAGAAAAAGCCTTTGACAAAATTCAACAACCCTTCATGCTAAAAACTCTCAATAAATTAGGTATTGATGGGACGTATTTCAAAATAATAAGAGCTATCTATGACAAACCCACAGCCAATATCATACTGAATGGGCAAAAACTGGAAGCATTCCCTTTGAAAACTGGCACAAGACAGGGATGCCCTCTCTCACCGCTCCTATTCAACATAGTGTTGGAAGTTCTGGCCAGGGCAATCAGGCAGGAGAAGGAAATAAAGGGTATTCAATTAGGAAAAGAGGAAGTCAAATTGTCCCTGTTTGCAGACGACATGATTGTTTATCTAGAAAACCCCGTTGTCTCAGCCCAAAATCTCCTTAAGCTGATAAGCAACTTCAGCAAAGTCTCAGGATACAAAATCAATGTACAAAAATCACAAGCATTCTTATACACCAACAACAGACAAACAGAGAGCCAAATCATGAGTGAACTCCCATTCACAATTGCTTCAAAGAGAATAAAATACCTAGGAATCCAACTTACAAGGGATGTGAAGGACCTCTTCAAGGAGGACTACAAACCACTGCTCAAGGAAATAAAAGAGGATACAAACAAATGGAAGAACATTCCATGCTCATGGGTAGGAAGAATCAATATCGTGAAAATGGCCATATTGCCCAAGGTAATTTACAGATTCAATGCCATCCCCATCAAGCTACCAATGACTTTCTTCACAGAATTGGAAAAAACTACTTTAAAGTTCATATGGAACCAAAAAAGAGCCCGCATCGCCAAGTCAATCCTAAGCCAAAAGAACAAAGCTGGAGGCATCACACTACCTGACTTCAAACTATACTACAAGGCTACAGTAACCAAAACAGCATGGTACTGGTACCAAAACAGAGATATAGATCAATGGAACACAACAGAGCCCTCAGAAATAACGCCACATACCTACAACTATCCGATCTTTGACAAACCTGAGAAAAACAAGCAATGGGGAAAGGATTCCCTATTTAATAAATGGTGCTGTGAAAACTGGCTAGCCATATGTAGAAAGCTGAAACTGGATCCCTTCCTTGCACCTTATACAAAAATCAATTCAAGATGGATTAAAGATTTAAACGTTAGACCTAAAACCATAAAAACCCTAGAAGAAAACCTAGACATTACCATTCAGGACATAGGCGTGGGCAAGGACTTCATGTCCAAAACACCAAAAGCAATGGCAACAAAAGCCAAAATTGACAAATGGGATCTAATTAAACTAAAGAGCTTCAGCACAGCAAAAGAAACTACCATCAGAGTGAACAGGCAACCTACAACATGGGGGAAAATTTTCGCAACCTACTCATCTGACAAAGGGCTAATATCCAGAATCTACAATGAACTCAAACAAATTTACAAGAAAAAAACAAACAACCCCATCAAAAAGTGGGCGAAGGACATGAACAGACACTTCTCAAAAGAAGACATTTATGCAGCCAAAAAATACATGAAAAAATGCTCATCATCACTGGCCATCAGAGAAATGCAAATCAAAACCACTATGAGATATCATCTCACACCAGTTAGAATGGCAATCATTAAAAAGTCAGGAAACAACAGGTGCTGGAGAGGATGTGGAGAAATAGGAACACTTTTACACTGTTGGTGGGACTGTAAACTAGTTCAACCCTTGTGGAAGTCAGTGTGGCGATTCCTCAGGGATCTAGAACTAGAAATACCATTTGACCCAGCCATCCCATTACTGGGTATATACCCAAAGGACTATAAATCATGCTGCTATAAAGACACATGCACACGTATGTTTATTGCGGCATTATTCACAATAGCAAAGACTTGGAACCAACCCAAATGTCCAACAATGATAGACTGGATTAAGAAAATGTGGCACATATACACCATGGAATACTATGCAGCCATAAAAAATGATGAGTTCATGTCCTTTGTAGGGACATGGATGAAATTGGAAACCATCATTCTCAGTAAACTATCGCAAGAACAAAAAACCAAACACCGCATATTCTCACTCATAGGTGGGAATTGAACAGTGAGATCACATGGACACAGGAAGGGGAATATCACACTCTGGGGACTGTGGTGGGGTCGGGGGAGGGGGGAGGGATAGCATTGGGAGATATACCTAATGCTAGATGACGAGTTAGTGGGTGCAGCGCACCAGCATGGCACATGTATACATATGTAACTAACCTGCACAATGTGCACATGTACCCTAAAACTTAAAGTATAATAAAAAAATAAAAAATAAAAATAAATTAAAAAAAAAGAGAAACAATGATTATGACAAAAGAAGATGTTAGAGAAGGAAAATGGAAAAACTTGAGTAGAAATGTACACACAAGTGCTCCCCATTCTGGTCTCATGCTTCTAAACAGCCTTTTCCCTGAAAGCCTTCCAAACTAGTTCTGCTTGGGCAAGATGTATGTCTAAATTCTTTTGCTTTTATCAGTTGTCAAGAACATAATGTTGAGTTCAAAGGATAACCAAACCTTGAATCTGATTAGCTTTTATTCCATTCTCACTTGCAAAAATCATGAACTAAGCTTTATTTAGCCCTTCACTGGGATATCTGTAACGACATGGATCAGACTCCTTGAAGTGACTGCGATATGGCCAGACTTCATAGAAAACTGTGTTGGCTGATGGAGACTCTCAATATTTATAGGAAAGTCATGTGTAATGAGATGGGACTTCTACAGATTAATTGTCCCACCACTGGAGGAAGTGCAGCTGCCCTGGGTGCAGCCCTGCCTCTTTTTGCTCTGCTGCCTTAGGCCATTGGAGCTACCACTTCTAGTACAAGCCCTTCTGCTCTCCCAAGCCCTTGGCATAAGTGTCAAGATCTCTGAAGTGTTGTCTGAAAGTTCTCTTGCTTGGTTTCAGGTGCTTCCCCCTCACTCCTGACCCTGAGGATGGGAGGAAACTTGCTATAGCCCTTAACGACTCCTTCCAAAGATCTTTCCTTTCCCTGCTTCTCTGTACTTTTGTTTTTTTTTTGTAGCAACTTTATTCATAATAATCCCACACTGGAAATAACACAAATATTCATCAGCAAATACATAAACCAATTGTGGTATATTACAATGAAATCCTATTCAGCAATAAAAATAAAAAGCTACAGACATATGCAACAGCAAGTATCTCTAAACATGTTAAGGTAAAGAAACTAAACACAAGAGTATATACTATCTGATTTAATTCATATGAAATTCTAAATCAGGGAAGAAAACTAACCTTCCAGTAACAGAAGGTGGATCAGTGGTGACCTAGGGCTGGGGAGAATGACTGCAAAGGGAGAGGAAATTTATTCTGGTAAGAAAATGTTCTTTACTTTGATTGGGGGTGGTGGTTACATGGTTGTACACGGTCATCAAAGATCATTGAACTCTACAGTAAAAATGGCTACACTTAATTATAGTAAATTATACTTTCATTAAGTTGATCAGAAAGAAAAAACGTCCCAATGAGGCGATAGTCAAAAGTCACCACACCAGTGTCTGTCTTAATATTTGAATAGGCACTAAATTTCTAGGTTTCTATTTGTTTCATAGCACATGTCAGGGGGCCAAGTTTCCATCTAAATAAATGGCTTAATGAATTAAATTATATAGAGGAAGATACTTTTATATATATATATACTTCTTTTATTTTCAGAGATAGGGTCTTCCTCTGTCACCCAGCGTGGAGTGCAGTAGTGCAATTATAGCTCATTGCAGCCAGCCTAAAAGAGGAAGATATAACAAAATTATTCAAGAAATGAATCAAAGCCTATGGTCTAAATGTTTTCCAACTGAGTGATTAACTTTTGATATGCTATTTTGTGTTTATGTTTGAATCCTGAGTTGTCAAGTGTTTAGAAAAATCTGTCAAGTACACAAGTCTACCTTTGTGGTAGTTGGATCAAAATATTAAATCTCTTATCAAATGTTTAAGAAAATGTGATTAACAAATTATGTAAGTGGTATCAAATGTTCAGGATAATTGGAATTTACAAATTGTTAAAGAAATGGGAATGTAATTTCTCATTTTTATCGAATTTACTGTTCTTATGATATCTTCAAGTTGAGCTTAGAGATTTAAAAATGCTGTATTTTAAAAGTAAAACTAACATTGTTAACATTATTTACTGTAAGTTATCTTTGTAAGAGTGGTAAAATATATACATGATGTGTCGTTACATAATTTCATTTAAAAAACGCATCACTTTATGTGTTTTTATATTGCTATAAACCATAAGGCCAGTCTACAAGGTTTGTAGATAAAATAGAAACATACCTTCCTTGAAAAGCAGAATAAATTTCTTAAAAGGCAGGACGGAAGTGTTTGAACTATGTGTCAACAAGCTTTACTGTCAAAGCAGGCTTTTGGTATGGAAAGAAAAATACTTATAAATACTTGTTTTAATATTTGCTTTATTAAAATACATTTAAAATACAGCTTCTCTCTACTCTTCAACTTCTCATGTAGGTTGGAGGTGGGTGGTTGCTAATGTAGGCATGACTTGTTTTTGCAGCCTCTTCCTATGTTCTGCTTAGGTGGTCTAGGGTCCTGGAGGTATTTGCCATGGGCTCAACTGTCCTTGACCTTCTCAACTTGTAAAGACAATAGAAATATTTGCTTCTAACAAAATTTCATTATTCACATAGCAACTTATCTTCTTGAGGAAATATTCAAGAAACCAGACTGCTGTCCTTAGAAATATGTGCCAACTTCATGCATGCGTGTCTGAAGGTCCTCATTATTCTTCCCTCTTGAGATGGGGGAGACCCTTATTATTCATTCACAATCCTGTGGGAAGTGCAGGGAGCCTTTCCTTTAGAAAATATGCTATTTATCTAAAGGTGGAGGTTTGAAGAACAGAGGTTTTAAGCATCACACTCAGAAATGGAAATGTTATGAGAGACAATAGGGTTTCCAGTTACAGCCCTAAAACTCAACATGTTCAAAATTAAATGCCTGATCTCCCCATCCAAAGGTGCTCCATGTGCTGCTTTTTCTAACACACTTGACGGCAATGTGTTATTCCAGTCTCTTAGGCCCAAAATCTTGGGGACATCACTGACTTCTCTCTCTCTCTCACTCTACAGATTAGCAAATCCTATGAGTTCTATATGGAAAATATATCCAGGGAAATTCAGCTTCTGCTTAGGATGATAAAATTCAGAAAGAGTGTCATCTCCACTCTTACAACAAAAATTTATAGTTGTATAATCTACAAAATAAAATCTTTTCTTGAACTGATCAGAGAGCTGAAGTTGCAGGGCAATTGGCTAATCTGAAATCTAAAGAAAAACAGATGCCTCCAAGAAGACATGAGCCATGTGCAAATGCCTCCCTGGGGCAGAGGCTGGACGCCAAATAAACTGGTAAGAAAAATTCAAAGTTTTTTTTGCCAAATTGCTAAAGTGAGTATGTGTGGGCTAACATGAGAATATAGAACCCCAGAGATCCATGGACATGAAAGAAATTTACATGTACATGCAGGCTCTTCTCCACAGACTTTACTGGATTCTCAGAAAGGTTGGGTCGGGATGAGAGTTCAGAGAAAGGTTCCTTCATGGTGCAGACCTAGGGGACGTGGGCAACAGCTACTGTAGGAAAAAGCCCAAAGCCCCACCCAGATCCTTCACATCTGTCTCCCATATGGAACAAAGCATTAAGCAGCTGGAAAGAACAGCAAATCTGCTTTTCCTCAGGTAAAGGAACAGAAAGAAAACCCTTTTGTACCACTGGGGAAAGGATAGAAAAATATCCTGGGCCTAAACCATTAGAGATCTACTGAGATGCCCAAGGGAAGGACCACTGAGAAGTCTCCACTTCTGGAACCCTGGACCATAGTGACTAACACTGTGACTGAACCATAACAACAGAGCTCCCTGTGCATACACCCCCCGCCCCAACCGGGTTAATAGGTCCTGAGTGATAAGTAACAGCAGTCTACTACTGATAAAGGGGAGATACAAAGAAGGACCCACTCTGAGGCGCAGGTGTGCAAAGGGAAGACCTAAAGCAGAGGGTAAAGCACCTATTGAGAAAAATCTTCTGCAAACAAGTCCATCCAGAACACAAGGCAACAGAGGATTAGAAGCCTGGGTGCACTGAAAATAAACACAGCATTATCAGTACCCAAACTTAGGGTACTGTTCATCTAATAACTAGATTGACTCAACCTCACATAAAAACTGCCTAGTAAGGGTAATTGGCAGGCCATATGCAGAAGATTGAAACTGGACCTCTTCCTTACATTATATACAAAAATCAACTTAAGATGTATTAAAGACTTAAATGTAAAACCCAAAACTATAAACTATAAAAACCCTGGAAGATAACCTAGAATATACCATTCTGGATATAGGGCCTGGTAAATATTTCATCATGAAGACTCCAAAAGCAACTGCAACAAAAATAGAAATTGACTAATGGGACCTAATTAAATTAGAGAGCTTCTGCACAGCAAAACAGACTATCAAGAGAGTAAACAGACAACTTACAGAATGGGAGAAAATATTAGCACACTATGCATTCGACAAAGGCCTAATATCAGGGCTCTACAAAAACTTAAACAAATTAACAAGCAAAAAACAAACAACTCCATGAAAATGTGGGCAAAGGACATGGACAGACAATTTTCAGAATAAGACATACACATAGCCAACAAGCATATGAAAAAATACTCATCATCACTAAACGTTAGAGAAATGCAAATCAAAACCACAATGAGATACCATTTCACATCAATCAGAATGGCTACTATCAAAAAGTTTTAAAAAAAAAACCAGATGCTAGGAACGTTGTGGAGAAAAGGGAATACTTACATGCTGCTAATGGGAATTAGTTCAGCCATTACGGAAAGTAGTCTGGCAATTTCTCAAAGAACTTAAAATTGAATTAGCATTTGACCCAGCAGTCTCATTATTGGGTATATCCAAAGAAATACTTAACTATGAAGCAATAGTAACCAAGAAAATTTAGTACTGATAAAGATAGACATACATATCAATGGAATATAATTGAGAGTCAAGAAATAAACCCACACATCTGTGGTCAACTGATTTTCAACAAGCATGCTAAGACCATTCAATGATGAAAGAATAGTCTCTTCAACGTGATTCTGGGACAACTGGATAACCACATACATATACAATATAAACAATTTAACTCAAGGTGGATCAAAGATTTAAATGCAAGAGCTAAAACTGTAAATCTCTTAAAAGAAAATGTAGGGATAAATCTTCATGACCTTGGATAATAAAGTAAAAAAATACTTCATGGAATGGGAGAAAATATTCCAAATTATATATCTAAGAAGGAACTGGTATCTAGAAAATAGATATAGACAGATAGATGATAAATGATAGATAGATAGATAGATAGATAGATAGATAGATAGATAATCACTTACAACTCAATAATAAAAATACAAATAACTCAATTTTCAAAAAGAGAAAGTATCTAAGTAGATATTTCTCCAAAGATAAGCACATGAAAAGATCCTCCATGTCATTAATAACCAGGAAAATACAAATCAAAACCACAATGAGATACCCTTATATGGTAGTGGAAACTTAAAATGGTATTCTTGCTTTGGAAAATAATCTGGCAGTTCCTCAAGTGTTTAAACATAGAATTACCATATGATCCAACAATTACACCCCTAGAGAATACCCAAGAGAAATTTTAAAAAATGTGTCCACACAAAAGCCTTTGGGTTATTTAGCAGTGTACTGTTTATTTTCAAATTTCTTGTTATCTAGACACACACACACACACACATACACACACGTGCACGAAAATGAATATGTGAGATACAGCTAAAGAAATGCTGAGAGGGAAATTTCTATCTCTAAATTCTTACATTAGGAAAAAAGATCTCAAATCAATAATCGAAGCTCACACCTTTAAAAGCTAGAAAAAGGCTGGGCACGGTGGCTCAGACCTGTAATCTTAGCACTTTTGGAGGTGGGCAGATCATTTGCAGTCAGGAGTTTGAGACCAGCCTGGCCAACATAGTGAAACCCCATCTCTACTAAAAATACAAAAATTAGCTGGACGTGGTGGTGGGTGCCTGTAGTCCCAGCTACTCGTGAGGCTGAGACAGGAGAATGACTTGAATTCAGGAAGCAGAGGTTGCAGTGAACTGAGATCATGCCATTGCACTCCAGCCTAGGTGACAGAGCGAGACTCCATCTCAAAAAAAAAGAAAAATCCTAGGAAAAAATAGCAAAATAAACCCCAAATGAGCAGAATGAAGACGCATGGCTGATTCTATGTTTGAAAATCTGTCAGTATAGTTCATTGCAATAACAGTCTAAAGAAGAAAAATCAGATGACTGTATCAAGTTATTAGAAAAAGCATTTGACAAAATTCTACACACTGTCATGATTAAAAACTCAGAAAGCTAGATATTATAGAGGAACTTTCTCAACTTGATAAATAACATCTACCAAGGAGACATCATGGCTGACTAGAGATACCCAACACTCACCTCTTTCACAAAGAAAGATCAAAACAGAGAGTGGACAACCACATATTGAATAGAGTGTGTAAGAGAAAACACTGGAATTCATCAGGGAAGTGACAGGAACCCTCTGAGGCACTGAAAGAAAGGGAAGTGAGCAGTTGCCCTGGCTGGGATCAGCTCAGTGCCAGGAAGAACTCCCCATTGTGGGAAAATGGTAAGCAAGAGATTCACAGTGATGCACATTCTCACCATGGACACCTATAAGCCTAGCCACAGGAGAACCTCTTGGCCCTTACAGGCCATAAGCCTAGTATGGGAGCTGCCTAGAGTTCATGTGACTGCATCGTTTCAGGGAGAAAATTCACACTGGATCCCACTCACCTCTCAAGACCCAAGCTCCTTAAGGGAATTCTACATTTGGAAGTTAAGGGAAAATATCTACCATCATGAAAACACACAAAAGTGTAAACATCACTGGTGGAGCAGATAAACAAATGAAAAAGAGAAAGAAATATAATGTTGTCACTACAGAAAACCACCAAATCACAAAAGTAACCAATAAGAGAGGAAGAAAAAACAAAGGATGTACAAGTCAATCAGAAACAAATAAGAAAATGACAGGAGTACTTCCTCACCTATCAATTACGATCTTGAATGTAAACAGTTTACATATGCAGTTAAAAGATATAGACTGGCTGAATGGATAAAAAAGACAAGACACAATTATATGCTGCTTACAAGAAACTCACTTCACCTGTAAAGACACATAGATTGAAACTGAAGGGATGAAAAAAGATATTTTACCCAAATAGAAACCAAAAGCAGGTAGGATTAGCTATATTTGTATTAGATAAAATAGACTTTAAGTCAAAAAACATAAAAAGAGATAAAATGGTCATAGTACTGGTATAAAAATAAACACACAGACCAATGTAACAGAATAGAGACCACAGAAATAAAGCCAAATACTTACAGCCAACTGATCTTTGACATAGCAAACAAAAACATGTAAGTGGAGCAAGGACACCTTATTCAACAAATTGTGCTGGGACAATTGGAAAGCCACATGTAGGGGAATGAGACTGGATCCTCAAATGAAAAAGGAGACATTACAACTGATACCACAGAAATACCAAGGATCATCATAGACTATGATGAACAATTATATGCTAACAAATTGTAAACCAAGAGGAAATAGATAAATGCCTGGACGTATACAACACACCAAGATTGAACTAGAAAGGAACAGAAAATCTGAACATACCAATAACAAGTAACAAGATTGAACCAGTAATAAAAAACTCTCCCAACAAAGAAAAGCCCAGGACCAAACAGCTTTACTGCTAAATCCTACCAAACTTATAACAAACTAACACTAATTCTTCTTAAACTGCTCAAAAAAATTGAAGGGGAATTTTTACTAACTCATTCTATGAGGCCAGCATTACCCTGATACCAAAACCAGACAAGGAAACAATAAAAAAGAAAACTGCAGGCAATACCCCTGACTAACATAGATGCAAAAATCCTCAGCAAAATACTAGTAAGCTAAATCCAACAACACATCAAAAAGATAATACATCATGATCAAATAACATTTATTCTAGGGATGCAAGGATGGTTCAACACACACAAATCAATAAATGTGATACATCACAGCAGCAGAAGGAAAGACAAAAACCATATGATCATCTCAATAGATGCAGAAAAAAGGATTTGATAAAATTCAACATCCCTTCTAAATAAAACTTACTCTTAACAAATTAGGCACTGAAAGAACATACCTCAACATAATAAAGGCCATATATAACAAACCCACAGCTACTGAATGGGGAAAAGCAAAAGCCTTTCTTCCTTTATGCACTGGAACAAGGCAAAGATGCCCACTTTGACCACTCCTATTCATTATAGTAGTGGAAGTCTGAATCAGAATGATCAAGCAGAAGAAAGAAATAAAAGATCCAAATTGGAAAAGAAAAAGTCAAATTGTCCCTCTTTGCAGATGATATGATCTTATATATAGAAAAAGACTAAAGACTCCACCAAAAACCTCTTAGAACTAATAAACAAATTCAGTAAAGTTGCAGGATGCAAAATCAACACTAAAATTAGTAGTATTTTTATACACCAACAATAAATAGCTGAAGAACACATTTAAAAAGCAATCCCATTTTCAATAGCTATAAAAATAAAATAAAATAAAATAAAATATCTAGGAATACAGTTAACCAAGGAGGTGAAAAACCTCCACAATAAAAACTACAAAATACTGATGAAAGAAATTTAAGAGAATACAAAATAATGGAAAAACATCCTGTGCTCATGGATTATAAGAACTGATATTGTTAAAATGATCATACTACCCAAAACAATCCACAGATGCAATGCAATCCCTATCAAAATACCAATTATATTCTTCACAGACAGAAAAAAAAAATCCTAAAATTTGTATGGAACCACGAAAGATCCTAAATAGTCAAAGCAATGCTGAGCAAAAAAAACAAAGCTAGAGGTATCACACTACCTTACTTCAAAACATACTATAAAGCTGCAGTTACCAAGACAGCATGGTATTGGTATATAGACACATAAAAAAAATGAAACAGAATAGAAAACCCAGAAATAAATCTGTGTATTCACCTGACATTCAATAAAGGCCCCTAAAACATACATCAGAGAAAGGATATCTTATCAATAAATGGTGCCAGAATAATTGGATATCCATATGCAGAAGAATGAAACGACCTCTGTCTCTCACCATACACAACAATCACCTGAAAATGGATTAAAGACTTAAATGTAAGACCTGAAGCTATAAAACTACTGGAAGAAAATACAGAGGAACTGCTTCAGGGCATTGCTATAGCCATAGATTTTATGGATAAGACTTCAAAAGCACAGGCAACAAGGCAACAAAACAGACAAATAGGACTATATTAAACTAAAAAACTACTGCACAGCAAAGAAAACAATCAGCAGAGTGAGGAGACAACTTGTAGAATGGGAGAAAAGTTTGCAAACTATTCACCCAACAACGGTCTGATATTCAGAATATACAAGGAACTCACACAACTTAACAACCAAAAACAAATAACCCAATTTAAAAGTGGGCAAATTATCTAATTAGACATTTCTCAAAAGAAGGCATACAAATAAATGGCCGACAAATATATGAAAAGACGTTCAACATCACTAACCATGAGGAAATGCAAATCAAAACCACAATGAGATATCTCACCCCAGTTAAGATTGGCTATTATCAAAGAGACAAAAAATAACAAATGCTGGCAAGGATGTGAAGAAAGGGAAATTCTTATACACTGTTGGTGGGAATGTAAATTAGTAGAGCCATTATTGAAAGTAGTATAAAGACTTCTCTGAAAACTAAAAATAGAACTACCTTACAATCCAGCAATCCTACTACTGGGTATTTATCCAAAGGAAAGGAAATCAGTTTCTCAAAGGGATGCTCATGTTTATTGCAGCACTATTCACTATTGCAAAGGTATGGAATCAGCCTAAATGTCCATCAACAGATGAATGAATAAAAAAATGTGGTATTATGTGCACAATAGAATACTACTCAGCCATTTAAAAAAAAAAAAAAAGAATGAAATCCTGTCATTTGCAGCAACATGGATGAGCCTGGAGGACATTGTTAAGTAAAATAAGTCAGGCGCAGAAAGACAAATACCACGTGTTCTTACATGTGGGAACTAAAAAAAAATGGAGCCCATAGAAGTAGAGACTTACGGTTATCAGAGGCTGGGAAGGGTAGGAGGGTAGGGAAGATACGGAGAAGTTGGTGAATGGTTACAAATTTCAGCTAGATATGAAAAATGAGTTCTGATGTTCCACAGCACTGTAGGGTGCATATGGTAAACTATAAGTTACTGCATTTTTCAAAAAGCTAGAAGAAAGAATTTTGAATGTTCCCAAAACAAAGAAATGATAAATGTTTGAAGTGCTGGATATCCTAATTACCCTGATTTGATCATTATACTTCATATGCCTGTTTCAAAATATCACTCTGTGCACCTTAAATACGTATAATTATTATGTGTCAACTAAAATTTTTTTTTAAAAAGGACATCTACAAAAACAAAATGCTACAGCTAACATGCTTAATGATGAAAGATTGAAGCCTTTCTCCCTAGATAGGGGTAGAAACAAGAATGTTTTCTCTCATCACTCTTTTTTTAAAAGCAGGAATAAACAAAATATTAATGATTGTTTAAAGGATAACACTTAAATATTTACAAAGTAAAAATTTAAAATATCTTGACCAGGGTTTTCTATGTATTATGTTACCATCATGACTCTGATTTTACCTTTCCTAGAGCAGTTTCTCAGAAAGAAAGTAAAAGAACTAATAACAGTCTCTGGGGCTTGCATTGCCTGCTCAGGCCTGTTGTCCCCTGGCAGATCAAAGCACTGAAATGAAGAAGCAGTGTCCTCACCCCTCTCTCTCCTCCTCGCCCCTCTCTCTTGCCCCTTTTGTTTTTACTTTGAGTATTTCTGAATAATAAATGCAAAATTAGGGTTGAATATAAACCAAAAGAGCCAGATGACCACCCCAATTCAAGATTGCATTTCATTCCAGGAGACCTGGCACAGAAAGGATTCCCCTTCATCTACAGGGTTACTGCAACAGAAATCAAAGATCATACATGAATATCATTTGTAGGCTCTGAGCAAAGACAAACCTAGTATAAATTCATCTGCAAGTGAGGAGATTTGAACCAGGTGGTCTGTTATGTCCCATCTAGCCTGGCAAGCCAGCGTGAAAGCTCAGATCTTCCACCGTGAAAGGACTTGCCCTCCCCGCTAAGGTGGACGCAGAAAGGAAAGACCATCATACTGTGGCACCAACCTTCTAATATAAAAAAGAACTATGTTGGGGTTAAAGTACATCAATAAAGTACAAATTTTTACCATACTTACAGGACAAATTAATTCTTAATAGTTTGAAATATATGTATACCATAAAACTCTGTCAACCTACATACACCAAAGACTTTCCTGTGGGTATAGAAAATCTGAGTAAGCCAAGCAAATTACTTGAAATCCTGAGAGGCCATACATAATCTTCTGCATCCATTATGCCTCTCTATTATACGTTATTTTCTAGGTCACTTGAACAAGAGCATTTCTTACCTCAGAGGGTCTAAAACACCTTTTTTTTTTTTTTTTGAGACGGAGTCTCACTGTGTTGCCCAGGCTGGAGTGCAGTGGCACCATCTCGGCTCACTGTAAGCTCCGCCTCCCGAGTTCACACCATTCTCCTGCCTCAGCCTCCCGAGTAGCTGGGACTACAGGTGCCCGCCACCATGCCCAGCTAATTTTTTTTGTATTTTTAGTAGAGATGGGGTTTTACTGTGTTAGCCAGGATGGTATCGATCTCCTGACCTCGTGATCCGCCTGCCTCGGCCTCCCAAAGTGCTGGGATTACAGGTGTAAGTCACCATGCCCAGCCCTCTAAAACACCTTTTTTAAAAAACTTATGATTCAAGGATTTGAAATCCTAACGTTACAGGCAAAATCTCATTTTTATAAAATATAAAATGCTGTGTTTCTTTCACACCTAATAGCTTGTCAAGAGAAGTCACTACTAAATTGCATTCCTGCAGCCTTTCCAGGTAGTGGGATACTGCTTGTTTGATCTCCACTGAACCCCGTACAGGAGTGATAAGTTTCACGTCTTGCAATTCTGCCACTCCATTTATTCCAGGGCTGGAGCGATCTGCAATTTGATATCAGGATGATTATCCTGTTATGCCTTCATTATTTGGGGTGTTGCTGTACCTGTTCCTTTTTGTTTGTTTGTTTGGTTTTTTTTTTTTGAGAAGAACAAGACTTTCCAGATTCCATCCTCTTGGCCAGCTCTTCTGCTGATGTCATGTCAGTTTTAGCAACTAAAAAGTCAGAGGTGATTCCTTCCATGGTTTTGTTTGGGTCTTGCAAAATGTTAAGAACAACTTCCTGTAACACTTGTGTTGGTATTGCCTCATTTTTAATGGCCTTTTCATATAGCCCAGTAGCATCATAGGTGCCTTTCTTGGCTAACAACTTTGCTTTGTAGAACCAGAATTTAGCAGTTCTTCAGCCTCAGGAATACTAGACAATATGGCAAATATTTCCTTAAAAACCACACCCCTTTCAATGAGCTGCAGACATTCTGTCAGAGTGTTGTTAGTTTTATGGAGCAGTTGAAGCTGTGCTTTCTTTTCTTCCTCTTTTTTTTCAACGGTCTTCCAGAATATTTATTTTCTCTATTATTTTTCTTTCTGTTTTACGTGTCATAGGAGGCCACTTATAGATTTTCCCCTTAGATTTCTGTCATTCTTCCAGTTGTTTCCTTTGATCCTCTGCTATTGTCTTCTTTTCGGTATTTGGATTCATTTGGGTCCCTTTTGACACTCCTTTTCCTTCATGATTGTGTTACCAGCTTGAGTTTTGGGAGCTCTCTTGTTTAGAAAACAGAAGAGCCTTTTTCAGCTTGGAGACCAATGCCTGTGCTCTATGTTGTAAGCTGTTGTGGCATTTGTCCCCATTAGTTCCATTTGCTCTTACGCCGTGGGTGCTGGGAATGACTGAATTTAAGCTGCCAACTGTCAAACTAGCCTCTGGCTTATAGCTTTTGATTTTTGCAGTGCACACGACCAAGGCCCAAAACAAGGTTGAATGGACTGCTGATCTTGCTTAATGTTTAAATGTCTGTTACTATATCCTCCCTGAAACAAACTGGAGTATGTCCTGGTTTTGGTATGTTTTACTTCCTATTCACTAACTTATACATGCTCTTTAATAATTAACCCTATTAACCTTTGTACCCTCCACCATTAATTTTTTATTTTTGATGCTTGAGTCCTACTAAGGGTCTGAACAAAGAGAGAGGGAACTGTCTTGGGGGCTTTTCTCCCAGTCTTGGAAGATCTTCTTGAGAGAGTTGCTATGACTTTACTGATAGAAGCTTGACTTGTGTTTCTCCAACAAATTGTTTATGAACTCTGTCTTTCAGGGCAGCACTAGTCACTGAATATCTGCCCAAGGCTTGTTGAGGAACCAAATTGCTCTTGGTTCAATTATGAGAGTTATTCTTTAACTTCTTTATAGTACATAATTGAGAGTCTGGCTTCCTCTCAGGGTCTGACAAGGTTTGAGGCAAATTCTCTTCATTAATCTCTTTTAGAAAGCTAACCAAAGATTAATTTTCAATGCGGGCATTTCCTATGGAGTCTGTACACTTAACATTCCTTGATATGTTAACTGCTGCTTTGTAGTCTTCAAATCCTGTGCATTAAGTGACCCCATGGGTTTTCTTGACAGCTTTTCCATGGTGAATGATCCAGCTTTGTGCTGCTGTAAGCTACTGCTGGAGGCTTACAGTTTGGTTAGAAGGAACATATTCAGCCTTTTGCCCAGTTTTAGTGGCTTCAACTTTGGCTTCTGGGACCTTGTAATATTGGCTTGTCTGGCCTGGAGTTTAATGCTGATGGGCCTTATGCTTTAACAGGCAAAACAGCATGATTGATAACATTCTCTTGGATAGATTTGGGCAATTATTTTTGGCTTTTAGATAAAGCTCAGTGTTTGGCACTTGAAGTTCCTTTCGACTTCTAGGTACTCCTGGAGCTTTCTCTGTTGTTCGGTGGCAGCAGTGGTGGTGACAGGCCCTGGCCTCACCATGACTTCTCAGTCACAGTGTTTCTTCCTCTCTCACCACTTTTATTGAGTATAGTACTGGAAGTCCTAGCCAGGGCAATAAGGCTAGAAAAGGAAATAAAAGGCATACATATCAGAAAGAAAGAAATAAAACTATCTCTATTTGTAGATGACATAATAGCCTTTGTAGGAAATTCTACAGAATCTACAGAAGAGACTCTTAGAACTGATAAGTGAGTTCAGAATGGTGACAGACTACGTGATCAACATGCAAAAAGTTAACTTTAATTCTTTTTTTTTAGACATAGTTTCACTCTGTCGCCCAGGCTGGAGTGCAGTGGCATGATCTTGGCTCACCACAACCTCCGACTCCAGAGTTCAAGTGATTCTCCAGCCTCAGCCTCCCAAGTAGCTGGGACTACAGGTGTCCGCCACCATGCCCAGCCAATTTTTGTATTTTTAGCAGAGACAGGATTTCACCATGTTGGCCAGGCTGGTCTCAATCTCCTGACCTCAGGTGATCCACCTGCCTCGGCCTCCCAACATGCTTGGATTACAGGCGTAAGTCACCATGCCTGGCCAAGTTACCTTTAATTCTATATACTAGCAATAAACCCATGAAAACCAAAATTTAAAATATAATACCATTTAATTTGCTCAAAAATGAAATAGCTATAAATTTAACAAAACATATATAAGACTTGTATGCTGAAAACTGCAAACACTGATGAAAGAAATCAAAGAAGATTCAAATAAAGAGGAATGTGTTAGTCAGCATTCTCCAGACAAACAGAACCAATAGGATACATATATCAATAGATGGATGAGATGGGATTTACTATGGGAATTGACTCACGTGATCATGGAGGCCGAGAAGTCCCGCGATATGCTGTCTGCAAGCTGGAGAACCAGAGAAGCTGGTGGAGTGGCTCGTTCTGCATTTGAAGGCCTGAGAACCAGGGGAGATGTTGGCGTATCTGTCAGTCAGAGGCTGAAGGCCTCAGACTCTACAGAGGTAGAGATTGGGACTGGGTAATCTCATAGCACTGGTGTAAGTCTTGGAGTCCAGTGGCCAGATAACCTGGAGTTCTGATATCCAAGGGCAGGAGAAGATTGGTGTCCCAGCTCCTGAAGAAAGAGTGAATTCATCTTTCCTCTGCCTTTTTGTTCTATCCAGGCTCTTAACTGATTGAATGGTGCCCATCTTCATTAGATGAGGGCAGATCTTCCTTACTCAGTCCACTGATTCAGACACTAATCTCTTCCAGAAATACCCTCAGAGACACACCCAGAAATAATGTTTTGCCAGCTATCTGGCTATCCCTTAACCCACTCAAGTTGACACCTAAAGTTAACCATCACAGGGAGACATGCTATATCCATGGACTGTGAGCCTCAGCATAATAAAAATGTCAATTCTATCCAAACTGATATATAGGTTTAACACAATTTCTGTCAGAATTCTAGACATATTTTTGTAAATATATATGACTATTTTTAAATTTATATGAACAAAGGGAAAAAAAGAGAACTGAAAGAGTCAAAACAGAATAAAGTGGAAGGAATCAATATACCTGATTTTAAGACATGATAAAGATGTAGTAATCAAAACTTTGTGATATTGGCAGAGGAACAGACACATAGATCGATGGTACAAAATAGAAAACCTGGAAACAGCCCCGTACAAGTACAGACACTTGATTTTTCAAAGTAGCAAAAGCAATTCAATGGAGGAAGGATTGATTCCACAAGTGAAACAGTCTTTTCAACAAAAGGTGCTGGATATCCATAAACAAAAAATGAACCTCAACCGAAACCTCATACCATACATTATACAAAAATTATCTCAAAATAGATCGTAGGTTCAAAGATAAAACATAAAACTATAAAATGTTTAGGAGAAAATCTTCAGGATCTAAGGCTCGATGGCAGATTCTTAGACCTGACATCAAAAGCATGATCAATTTTAAAAATTGATAAGTTGGATTTCATCAAAATTTAAAACTTTCGCTCTCCAAAATACCATGTTAAGGATGAAAACAAAGCTACTGACCGGGTGAAAATATTTGCAAACCACCCATCTGACAAAGGGTTCAAATCTAGGATATCTCTCTCAAAACTCAACAGTTAAAAACAACAAAACAAGACAAAAACTTCCATTACAAGTGGGTAAAGGTGGGAAAACTCAAACTGTTTTTCCTCTGCACTCATATAGCAACAATCAACACAGAAGACTTCTGTGACCAAATGTGGGAGATTTCTTCTCCACCAACAAGCAAGCAATCAATTCTGCAGCAGACACCAGCTGGGTGTCCTCAATCCAATTCTAATCTGATGCTATCTATCTGGAGGTAACGTCAGACACCACGGGGATGAGCACTCAGTCCCATGGAACTTCTCCCCACTTCCAATGCCAATTGCAAGGAATGTGCTTCTGACTCACTGGCTATGAATCAGAGATCTCACGACCTCTTCCTTGTGTTTAATTAATTTGCTAGAGCGGCCCACAGAACTCAGGGAAACACTTAAGTTTGCCAGTTTATTATAAAGGATATAGATGAAGAGATGCATAGGGAGAGGAATGGGGAAGGGACACGGAGCTTCCATGACGTCCGCAGGTGCAGCACTTTTCAGGAACTTGTATGTGTTCAGCTGTCCAGAAGCTCTCTGAACCCAGTCCTTTTGGGTTTTTACAGAAGCTTCATTATGTAGGCATAATTGATTAAATCGTTTAATCGACTTACTCTTCAGGTGACCAGTCGCCATCCTGAAGCTACGGAGGTGCTCCCAGCCATCAGTCAATTCATTAAGACACAAAAAGACATCTCTTTGGAGAGTCTAAGGATTTTAGGGGTTGTTTGGCAGGAAACAGGGTTGAAGACCAAATATATATTTCACAATATCACAATGGGTGAAAGACATAAAGAGACATTTTATCAACAAGGATATATAGATAGAAAATAAACACATAAAAGATGCTTACATCGCTAACCATCAGGAAAATGCAAATTAAGATCATAATGAGATATTATTACTATGTACCTAATAGAACAGTTATAGTAAAACATAGTGACAATATCAAATGCTGGCTAGGATGCGGGGAAACTGAATATCTAATACATTGAAAATGGGAATGTAAAATAATACACCCACTCTATAAAACTGGTTGTCAACTTCTTAAAAAGAACTAAGCATACACTCACTATACTACATGAACCAGCAATTGCCCTCCCATGCATTTGTCCCAGAAAAATGAAAACTTATGTACACACAAAAAACCGTGCACAAATGTTTGTAGCAGATTTATTTGTAACAGCAAAACACTGGAAACAACCAGTGTAAGACAAACTTGTCTTACAAGTGAATGGCTAAACAAACAGTATGCATCCATACAATAAAATAACACTCAGCAATAAAAAAATAAATTATTTATATATGCAACAACTTGTAAGGATCTCAAAGGCATTATGTTGAGTGAAAAATCAAACTCAAAATGTTACATACTGTATGATCCCATTTATATAACATTGTCAAAATTACAGAGATATAGAAGAGGTTAGCATTTGCCAGAGACTTAGTATGGTGAGGGTGGGTGTCACTATAATGAGGTAGCACCAGGGAGACCTTTATGGTTATGGAATTGTCTGTATTTTGACTATAGTGGTGATTACACAAACATACACAGGAGAGACTGAACATAAGCAAAAGCTAGGAATATTACCAGACCCAGCTGGAAATAATGTTCAGCCGGGTGGGGAGGTTCATGTCTGTAATCCCAGCACTTTGGGAGGCTGAGGTGGGTGGATCAATTGAGGTCAGGAGTTCGAGACCAGCCTGGCCAACATGGTGAAACTCTGTCTCTACTAAAAATACAAAAATTAGCCAGCCGTGGTGGTGCACACCTGTAATTCCAGCTACTAGGGAGGCTGAGGCAGGAGAATTGCTTGAACCCAGGGGGCAGAGATTGCAGTGAGCCAAAATTGCACCATTGCACGCTAGCCTGGGCGACAGAGTGAGACCCCATCTCAAAAAAAAAAAAAAAAAAAGAAAGTAAGAATATTCAAACACTTATTACAATATAGACATCGACTCTTAAATTATCCCAAATTATGATATAATCATATTCAGTTGATGGGGAATAGAAAGTGTTCACGTGTGGCATTAAGTCAGCAATGGTGGAGCATTATATTACCATCTGTAATTGTGGGAAGTCAAAAGTAACGCCTAATACTGAAAAATGAAGAAGTGGCAATATGAACATGTTATATGAGATATGGCAGTAAAAGTCTAAGATAATCTATTAAAAATTGAGAATAGTTGCTTCTGGGAGATAGAATATGGTTGGATGTTAGGGAGACTCCAATTTTTATATGTAAAACTTATATAACTATTTATTTGACTCTTAGTGTGTACATGTAACTTTGAGAAAGATAAACACTAATTTAGATCATTACACGAATGTTATAGGAGTTACACACAAAGGCCAGGTGGGGTGGCTTACACCTGTAATCCCAGCACTTTGGGAGGTGAGGATGGTGGATCACTAGAGGTCAGGAGTTTGAGACCAGCCTGGTCAACACAGTGGAACCCTGTCTCCTGGCATGGTGGCATGCGCCTGTAATCCCAACTACTTGGGAGGCTGAGACAGGAGAATCGCTTGAGCCTGGGAGGCAGAGGTTGCAGTGAGCCAAGATCACACCACTGCACTCCAGCCTGGGCAACAAAGTGAGACTCCATCTTAAAAAAAAAAAAAAAAAAAAAAAAAAAAAAAAAAGTTATATATAAAAAGAATATCCATACTATTAGCACTAGTAAGAGAATTTCATAAGCTTTCCAGCTCTAAGATTGATGTTCAAAACTCAATTGCAATCCTATTCAGTAGTCAACAACCACTGAAAAAAGTAATAATAAATTTTAAAGATTCCATAAACTAGAATATATTAAAGGCGTCTCTAACTAACGATGCAAAAGACCATTATAGAGAAAAAAACTGTAAAATTGTAAACTGAACTTCATAAAAGAAAACCTAAATAAATAGAGGTATACCATGCCCATAAATGGGAAGTCTCAATACTGGAAAAATGTAAATGTCTCCAAAATAATATATGAATTCCATGGAATCAATTAATAAATCTAAAAGGATTTTTCATGAAAGTTGATAAAGTGAGTCTAAAATGCATTTAAGCCAAGAATAGTCACAACAATTTTGGATAAGAAAAGGTGAGATGACTTGCCCAAAAGATATCAAAACTTACTGTGGAGCTATGCTAGGCCAGGCACAAGCATACCTCGGAGATATTGCAGGGGAATGTTGTGGCTAGTTTGATCATCTCTCGAGACCACTAAAATTTTCTCCTTATCAGCAATAAGACTGTGTTGCTTTCTTATCAGTCATGTGCTCACTGGAGTAGTATTTTTAATCTCCTTCAAAAACTTTTCCTTGGCATTCACAGCTGGCTGAGTGTCTGGTGCAAGAAGCCTAGCTTTCAGCCTGTCTCAGCTTTGGGCAAGCCTTTTTTTACTAAGCTTCATCATTTCTAGATTTGATTTAAAGTGAGCGATTTGCAACTCTCGCTTTCACTTGAGCACTTAGAGGCCGTTGCAGGGTTATTAATTGGCCTAATTTCAGGCCAATGCCTCTCCCTGTGCCTCAGGCTAAGTAGGGAGGCCTGAGGAGAGGGAGCAAGACGGGGGAACGGCCAGTAGGTGGAGCAGTCAGAACACACAAGACATTTTCCATCAAGTGTGCTGTTTCATAAGGACACGGTTCGCGGAGCCACAAGACCATTACACTAATCACAGATCCTCAGATCAGATATAATAATTATTAAAATTTGAAATATTGCAAGAATTACCAAAATGTGACAGAGACACGGAGTGGGCACATGCTGTTGGAAACATGGCACCAATAGACTTGCTCAATGCAGGGTTGCCACAAACCGTCAATTTGTGAAAAACGCAGTGTCTGTGAAGTGCAATAAAGTGAAGCACAATTTAATTTGCCTGTATTGACAGAGAGCTAGACAAGTAGATCAGTGGAACACAGAGCTCATCGAAGGAACCACAGATCTATAGACACTCGCTATATAGCAAAGCTGGCAGTGGATATCAGGGGGTGCTGGATAATTAATCCTTCCAGAGAAAAGATAAGATTCCTATCATCTATAAAAAAATAAGATTCCTACCATCTATAATGCATACACACACGTGTGCACACACACCAGCAGAAAAATATAACAAGATGTGATGGTGTGCGCCTGTAATCCCAGCTCTTTGGGAGGCTGAGGCAGGAGAATTACTAGAACCTGGGAGGCGGAGGTTGCAGTGAACCTAGATCGTGCCACTGCACCCCAGCCTGGGCGATGGAGTGAGACTCCGTCTCTGTCTCAGCCAGTGTCCAGAAGAGCTTTTCCCAAGTTTTCTTCTTTTTATAGTTCCAGATCTTACATTTAAGTCTTAAAAAGATAAATTTAATAAAAGTGCACAAGGTTTATATTAAAAACAAAGCTGTTTGTAAATGACATAAAAGACAACATGAAAAAATATAAAAATATACAGTGATCCTGAAAAAGAAGCCCCAATATTTATACCACTGTATGTATAATATAGGAATACTCTGGCTGTGTACATCCAATTCCCTCTCCCAGCCTTTGTGCCATTGTATCAGGTATTATATGATATTAATGCGTTATTATCATAATATCCACACTGCGTTATTATTTTTAGCTTTAAACATTCACTTATCATCTATAGATTTTGTTTAAATGTCTTTTAAATTTATGCATCTATTTACTTTTTCTGTTCTTCATTCTTGTGTATGGATCCAGATTTACATCTGGTGTCATTTTCTTTGTGCCTGAAGGGTGTCCACTAGTATTTCTTATAATTCAAGTCTGCTGGTGATGATTTCTTTTGCTTTTGTTTGATTTTAAAATACATTAATATCGGAATAGAAGAAAGGAAAACTCCTTAACTCTTTAACTTCCTAAAAGGTATCTATTTAAAAAATGCAATAAACATTCAAAAATATTATATATATATGTGTATATATATATATGTGTATATATATATGTGTATATATATATGTGTATATATATGTGTATATATGTGTATATATATGTGTATATAATATGTGTATATATATGTGTATATATATGTGTATATATATGTGTATATATATGTGTATATATATGTGTATACATATATGTGTATATATATGTGTATACATATATGTGTATATATATGTGTATACATATATGTGTATATATATGTGTATATATATATGTGTATATATATGTGTATATATATATGTGTATATATATGTGTGTGTGTATATATATATATATATATATATATATATATATATATATAGCGAGATGAAAGGGATAAATGGAAAGAGTAAAACTTAAGCAACAATTGGAAATTTTTTTTGTGTAACAAAAGCTCCCAAATCATACCAATACTGCAGCTTTGTGCACCAAGCTAGAGGAACAAGGCAGACTCTCCCACACATGCCCAGGGAAACAAATAAAAGAATGTTTGTTGCAAAGTTGTACTAGCAAAACACTGAATGAAGCTTCAAAATCTGTCTTGAGAAGAATTGATAAATTGTGGCATATTCTTACAATAGAAGACCACAGAACAGTGGAAAATTAATAAAATGTAGCTCCATATATCAACAGAAATAAACCTCACAAACTGTGTTAAGCATAAAAAATAAAGTTCCAGATTGCTGTGTACAGTGTCAAAGCATCTATATAATGTTAAAATATGAAAAGTAATACTATACATTGCTTAAGGATTCATACATATGTTATAAAGTTATAAAACCATGCTTGAGAATGATAAATTCAGAACAGTGTTTTGTTTTTTGTTTTTTGTTTTTAAAGAACTGAAGATCATAATGGCAAATGTTACTGTTTTTAAAAGATAGGATGTTAGGTCCATGGGTATTGTTTGTATTTTTTCTGTACATTTCAGAAGAGAAAAATGCTTATGCAACTTCCCAGTGATTTCAAAATATATGTGTGTTAAAATGAAATCATATTTTCAAAAGCCCCGCACAAAAGTAAAAACTGCTCTGAAAATTAAGGATTGTTCATGACCAGGGGCAGAATGGAAACTTCTTTTCTTGAGCAGTTTAATTCTCTTGGTTGGAAGCAGGGCCAATCTGAAGCTCAGTACATCAGGGTCAAGACATCCCTGGAGTCCTCATGAAGAAAACTCGTCCCTGACTCAGCTCCAAAGCTCTGAGGGAAGGAACACCAGGAGGGTGTGCGGAAGGGAGCGTGTCCGCGATGGGGGTGGCAGGGACGGAATAAAGGGGTCTTTAGTGACCTATAAGTCCTTGCAGCCTCTCCCCACTTGAACCCCTTGGAGAGGGCTGGAGGTAATGTATCACAGGGCATGCAGGGGCTGTAGAGAAAAAAAAATCATTCATTCATGTGTTTGTTTATTCATGTATTAATTTCACAAATATTTATTGAGCACCTACTATATGGCAGGTATTCTGCTTAGTCTGGATTCGTGGCACAGATCAGAAATAAAGCCCCTACTCATTACACCCCAATGCCACTTTCTGGGTTCTAAACTCTCTCCCATACCCACATTCATCTTTGCCACTAGTCAGAACCTCCAAGTCCCTTGAATAGGTTCTATTCATTGATTTTAGCAATACTTTCCTTATGCATCCCCAAAATATATCATATGAAAACTGAAACATGTAACAGTGTATTGGGGGACTCTGGAGTTTGGGTCTCAACATTCATACCACTACCACACCTTGGACCCCCTCCTCCCATCTCCAGGGTCCCAAAGAATGGAATTTGAAACCTTTCCACCTCCAGGGCACTACACAATGCACGGATCTGAAAGACTCTAGGAATCGCAAAAAACATTTGGAGAAAATAAAGAGTGTTCCCAACCTTCCCTTGAGGCTGGATCACTCTTGAGGGCCCCAGTGACTTTGTTGGGCTTGCCCTGTAGGCCTCTTGCCAGCCTGTCACCCAGTACCGAAGACTAAAGCCTATCCTATGTTCACCTGTCACAGGTTCCACCTCCTGCAGATGTAGGTCACTGTGAAACTCATCACCAGCAGCACCCTGAGGCCCAGGAGGAAAACCACAAAGACAAGGGCAGGCATCTCTGGGCCTCAATGCCAAAGGATAGAAGGAGCCGTCACGTGGAGGCTCTGTGAGTTTAAAAGCCCTCTCTGAGGTCATGTAGTCAAGAAGTTCTAGAGCTTGCAGGTTGCACCTGATTCTGATTCCAAACCCATGTCTTCTCTCCACATTTAGTCCTCTCTTGGAAATAAGAGTTGACCTTGACCTGTAAGCCTCACCTTGAATTTGGCTCAAATGCTGATTTGAATATCTGACACATAGCAGCCACTGTGCAAGGCTTTAGAGGCACAAACCTAAGTATAATATAATCAGCTCCATGTCCCGAAGGCCTGTGGTCATTTAATATAACTTTGCTACCATCTTAAGAGTTTGGTATCATTAGGACCATTTTCTAGATGAGTAAACTGAGGTTATGGGAAGGTAATGGACTCAGTTGCCTAAGTTTCCAAAGTTGTAACTACTGGAAACTAAATTTTAAAATAATCTTACCTGAATTCAAATAATAGGTATCAATAGCTGACATTTATTATAGACCATACGTAAAGTTTACATGTATTAATTCATTTAATCTTCATAAAGACAATGAATTAGGAACATTTATTAGACACTATCTACAGATGAACAGACTGAAGCACACAGGGGTGAAGTGCCTGTGCAAGAATCAAGTGGAAGAGGCTGTTCTATCATTGGAGCAGACATCATGCAAGCAGGTTTTATGTGCACTCAAGCTCGCCTCCATATAACCGAAACAAATATTTTAAACAAGACAGCCTTGCTGACAACCATCTGAGAAGCACCAGTAGTGAGTGCACTAAGCTGAACTCTCTCTTGGGAATTTTGAAGGAGCTTGAGCCAGGAGATCACTCTTTCCACAGAAATTAAAGAACCTTTCAGGATGGCCAGATTTAAAGGCATCCACTGGCCAGAAACCATTCTGGTTATTTAAGGAATCACAGACTCTCGAGTGGGATAAGACCTCATTGATTATCAAGCTCCCCCTCCTCCCAGTACCTTCTGAAATCCACTCAGGATACAGAAGTGACCCCAGGTGCTCACAGAAGAAGAAGTGAACTTACCTGTGCTCCCAATGGGCTTATAAGCGGTGTGGGCTGCTGTGGACAGTACGAGGTTAGCCCGTTTGGGAGGCTGTCCCTCATGTTCCATCATGCAGGTGAGCACCCGCTCAGGCCCCTGCACTGATGCATTCACCAGCAGCAGCTTTTCCAGGGTGTAGGACCTATCATTATTCTTCTTTAATGTGGGTTGCTCAGTGCCTTTGAGTGTATGGCAGTCCTCTAGCCAGGCAAGGTGCACGTTTTGTGGATAGAATCTCTGCACGAGGCAAGTAACAGCCACCAAGCTGGAGGAGGTGGAAGACTGGGACACTGTCACTGTAGGGGGAACTGACAAAGCCCAGAGAAAGCAAACAATTATTGTGGGAAGCCATCTGTAGGTGCCTGGGAGCTCCCTGAGGATGAAGTCATCTGCCTAGGGCCTAACCAGAGCCTGCCACAGAGGAATACTTTAGGTATTGGTTAACAAATGCACACATAAGGAAATGCATGATTGAATGACAGCGTAAATTCATGAGTGAATGCATGCCTGGATGGATGGATGGATGGATGGATGGATGGATGGATGGATGGATGGATCGATGGATAGATAGATGGATGGGTGGGTGGATGGATGAGCGGATGGATGGATAGATGGATGGATGGGTGGGTGGATGGATGAGTGGATGGATGGATGGGATTGAAGAAAGTCATTTAATCTTTCTTTTCTTTTTCACTTTGGCCATTAAAGATGAAAAGATGAGGTATGAATTCCACTGAAGAAGCTACAAATCATTTAACTTACTCTATGACTAGATAATTTTAAGATTTGAAGATTCATAGACTCTAAGTCTTAGAATCCAAGATGTTAAAATTGTACATAGGAAGGAACTTCAGATTATAGAGATTAAGTAACTTGCCCGAGGGCACAAGTAGCAAAGGTGGGATTACACCAGAGACAGTAGGTTTTACCTTTATGCTATTCTAACACCCAAACTATAAGGCTATAAGCATTTATGATTCCAGGCTTCCAAAATTATGATCTAATGACTTCTAGAATTTTTTCAGCCACATTTTCAGCTATGCAATAGAATGTATTCACAATAAGGAAAACAGGACAAATTTGAAGTCCTATAAAACACTAAATATTTCAATAGACTTCTTATGAACACACAACACGATGCAGCTCTAACACTAAACTGAGGGCTGGGAGATCTGGATTCTGGTCATTGCACTGATACCATAGCCAACTGCGAGACCTGTGCAAGTCACTTTCCCTCTGTTTCTAAGACTCTAAAATCATGAAATTCTCTGAGGTCAGATCAGCTCTCATGGGCCTAGTTAAGAGAGATTTCAGCTCTTGGTCTAGGGTAGAGGAAGCAACTCTTTCTGTAGGGCAATTTGAAGGAGTTACAGGAATCCAATTCCCAAATATTCTTTTCTCATCCTCAACCTACCCAGACTTGTAAAAGTCTATCAATGATGTTGCTAATGGCAGCTGAGGCAGACACCCTCCCTGAGCTTATTACCTGCACTTAGTCTTTCCCTTTCAGCACACAGGGAGAGCACAGGGATCTCACCAAGAAAAGAGCAAAACCTGAGAATGGAAGACTCCGGGTGTTGAAGCCCTGGTAACTGGGGTGGTGCCCGTGGAGAAGAGGGCAGGGTAAGGTGCCCTCCACACAACTGTCATGGGTTCTAGAAGGTGGGAAGGATCAAAAAAAATAAAAAAGGATAAGAGGCTGAGAAGGCCCATTTCAACCGCCAGTGAGTTTTCCTGGCTGTCTGGTGTCCAGGCCAGTGCTGGGAGGACAAAGGCCTGAGCACGGCTGATGACAACTGCTCCCATCCCCTGAAAGTCAATGTTTGAGGCAGTGTGCATGCATTCTCTTATTCAATTCTCACAAAACCAAATAATGTAAACACTGAAGCTACTTGGTGTCAGAAAAAAAAGGTGCCACTTAGAAGCAGCCTATACAAAATCAGGCCTCAATTTCATAGAAATTGTAAAAAAGGAATTGGTTGGAACGTCATCTTGAAAAGCATTTAAATTTTAAAAAATTTACTTAATTTATATTTGCATATAAATATATAGTATAATTGCAAAGAGGCACCAACTCTTATAAGAATAATTGTTGGAAGTGGACGGAAGCTGGCATCATTTTTTTTCCAGAATTTATACTATAGTACCAACAAATCCTTCATTTCAAATCTCACATTTATAGCACAATCATTAAAGAGTAATTTTGAAAAATCATTTGAAATTATTTGAGTGTTCTATCAATTTTCATAGGGGCATCTTTTAATCGAAGGGCTCTCTTTTGAAGTGCCCACAGTATCATTAGCATCGTGAATTTTTTCTTATTATTATGATTCCATTTTTAACACTCAAAGGCTTTGCCTGTGATCCCTGCAGCTCCCCAATATCACCTGCCTCAACTTCTTGAAATACAACTTTTTCAAGATCTCAGTTTGCACTTTGCAATGGATATGGATTCTATTTGCACAAAATGGTGTGAGGTTTGCCACACATCAATCAAGGCAAGACCAACCTCCTACAGCAGAGGGTTTCTGGGCTCCACGCCTCCTCTCCCAGCTGCCTGACCTCAGCGCACTGGTGCAAGACAGTACTACTCACACCGAGTCCCACCTTGGGCTTCCAAAACCCTTTCCTTTTCTCTGCCTCAGATTTCTCTGTAAACACGAAATGCCACCTCCCCACTACAGGCACATCCCCACCTCTCCTCCTTCATGAGACAATTCTCAGGCATAGTCCACCCAGTTCTTCAGAGGGTCTCCAGTGTCATTGGGCCCCAGTTTTCCACAGGGCCATCCAGCTCAATAACTCACTCTTTCTTGGCCGACCCCCTGCAAAGCTAGTATCTCTCTCCCTGCTCCCTCATCCCAACCTCTCAGCATCACCCTCCAACCACCTACCCCCAAGTCCTGGGTTCAGGCTCTGCTTTCAGGGGAACCCAAATAAAGATACCCACAAAGATATTTCCATGAGAGGAAGCACAGCCCTGAGATGCATGCAGTGTTGAGTAGGGAGGGGCTTGGAGTGGGAGCTAATTTTATATGTAATCGATTTATTTTTGAAAATTTGTATTTTCTATAACTTTTGCTTCTCAACACCATCGTCCTAGCTCAGGAGAATTACATAATAAATACTCAGATAAGGAAGATTCCCTGAACTATCATTTCTCTATTTTACAGACAAAAATACTGAGGATGGGAGAACATAAGCGACTTGCAGCAGATCCCACAACTGGTAAATAGAGCAGAGTTGGAAGCTGGAATTCATGCCAAGGTTTCTCACTCACCGGCTTTACAACCTTAAGCAGCCTTCACTTCTTTGAGCCTCAGTTTCCTTCTGTAACCCACAAATGGCACAAACAGTATAGGGAAGTTCTATGCATTGAAGTCCATTCACATGAGTGTGCTTTACTGTCTGCGTGCTGTAAATGTTTGAGACATTACTACCAATATTTTCTGCCATGTAACATGATGTGTTTACTTCCCAATAGCACAATTCTCCCCCTGTTTTGTGAATGAGAAAATGAAGAGAGATATAGTTTGTAGATTTTAAAGTCCAATATACATTCAAGGAATTAATTTTACTGCTATGCAAGCTTGGACCACTCACTTGCCTTCTCTGACTTTTACAGTTGTCAGAACAATGGGATGACGGTTAAGATTTCTTCTAGGCATGATACTTTATGACCTCATGGAATTCACAGATCTACCAAGCATTGGTCCAACCCGTCTAAAGACACCATTGGCCCTAGAATTTAGTTTCCCAAGCTCTTCAAATCTTCTTCCTATAAAATAATGATAATAATAAAATTGAATTCCCAGAAGATATCCTGTCTCCATTTTACAGATGAAAGAAGTGAGTTCTGAGAAGTGCTGTAAATAATAATAATAATAACAATTGCCACTTCTGAGTAGTTAGTATGAGCAAGGCACTGTCTTACGTGCTTTACAGGTATTATTTCACTAAATTCTTGCCTCAATCAAACAAGGGATGTGCTTGCTTATCATTGAAGGTTCTTCTTCATTTTTCATTGAGGAAACTGAGGCTCAGAGAAGTCCCCACCCCAACTCTGCACTACCTCAGCTGAGCAGAGAGAGAGATCTTACCCTGGAGGTACTGGTCCAGGCCAGTGGTTTTCTGGAAAAACCACGTCAACTTGTGCTCCACATGGCAAACGACGTGGGAGAACACATCATCATCCATCAGCGGGACAAGCACACTGCTGGTCACATTGTAGGTGTGTCCACTGTACTGGACGCTGGTCTGGGGGTTTGGGAGCTCGTGTTTGTTTTTAAGCCAGGTCACAGTAACCTGGTGTGTCGAGAACCCAGAGGATGCATAGGTCAATCGGATCCTTGTGCCAGGCTCAGATCGCTGAAGGGGGCCTTGCAACTTGTAAGGCTGGACACTCTGGCCTGCAAGGATAGACCCCTCCCATGAGAGGGCACAGAGGTGCCTGAACCCCAGTGTGAACAAATACACAGCATCTGCCAAGAAGCCCATTGCTTCCTCTTTCATAAGATGTAAAGGTTATGTTCTGATAGGAACCAGTTTCTGAATCTGATAACGGAGGCCGGACAGTGAAACTGTAGCAATGGGCAACAGCAGTTTGTAAGGAGGTCAACTCCTACAGATACTGCATAGCGAACACTCACTTGGCACCTACCCTGCCTACAGGCTCTTCCCTAAGTCACTGAGTTCTCACAGCAGCCCTCAGAAGTGGGTGCTGTTACTATCCCCATTTCACAGATGAGGAAACTGAGGCCAGGCAGGCTAAGTAACTTGTCTAAGGTCCATCAGTCAGTGGCAGAGCTGGGATCTTAGCCAGGTAGTCAGGCTCCAGGGTCGGCACCCCTTACTGTCACTCAGCCCTACCCTCAGTCTTTGAAAATGGAAGAAAACCTCATTTCTCAGAGGCTGGGTCATGGAGAAGAGGCTGGAACCATGGAGAAAAGGTTAGGAGCACAGGCTTTAGGATCTCACTCAACCCAAGTTTACATTTCCACTCTCCACTGAAGCCCAAGCAACTTAACTCTCTGAGCCTCAGTTTTTTCATCTGTAAAATGGGGGCGATTTTTTTTAATAGAAGAAGAATGGCTTAAATTTTATAACAACTATTCATCCCATTTTGATATCTGGAGTATAATTAAATTCAGACTTCCTTTGTTTATTTAGCCATTAGTTTTGATGAAGTACATTTTTCTTTTCTTTCTTTTTTTAAATTTTATTTTACTTTAAGTTCTGGGATACATGTACGTAATGTGCAGGTTTGTTGCATAGGTAAACATGTGCCATGGTGGTTTGCTGCACCTATCAACCCGTCACCTAGGTATTAAGCCCCGCATGCATTAGCTTTTGGTCCTGATGCTCTCCTTCCCCTCACCTGCTGCAACAGGCCTCGGTGTGTGTTGTTCTCCTCCGTGTGTCCATGTGTTCTCATTGTTCAGCTCCCACTTATGAGTGAGAACACGTAGTGTTTGAGTTTCTCTTCCTGCATTAGTTTGCTGAGGATGATGGCTTCCAGCTTTATCCACATCCCTGCAAAGGACACAATCTCATTCCTTTTTATGGCTGCGTAGTATTCCGTGGGGTATATGTACCACATTTTATTTATCCAGTCTATCACCAATGGACATTTGGATTGATTCCATGTCAAGGAATTTATTTTACTGCTTTGCTATTGTGAGTAGTGCTGCAATGAACATACGCATGTATGTATCTTTGTAATAGAATGATTTATATTCCTTTGGGTATGTACCCAGTAATGGGATCGCTGGGTCAAATGGTATTTCTGGTTCTAGATCCTTGAGGAATCACCACACTGTCTTCCACAATGGTTGAACTAATTTACATTGCCACCAACAGTGTAAAAGCGTTCCTATTGCTCCACAGCCTTGCCAGCATCTGTCATTTCTTGAGTTTTTAATACTTGCCATTCTGACTGGTGTGAGATGGTATCTAATTGTGGTTTTGATTTGCATTTCTCTCAGAGTTAATTAATAAATTAAGTGATGTAACTAGTGTAGAATATGTAGCACACAGTAATCACTATATAAACGGTAGCCCTCCGCACCATATACTCACAATGACCATCCAAGGAATTATTATTAATCATATTTTTAATATTAACAGATAAAGAAAAGGCTCAGGGAGGGTTAGTGACTCATCCAAGGGCCTCACAGTGAACAGAACTGACATTGTAACCCAGGAATTCTGACTCCAAGCCAAGGCCTTTTTCTGTTACATCATAGCTGCCTCTACTTCTGCACAGTTGGCTCTATATTAACCAATGACCTTTAATATTGTCCTACTTGCAGCTCAGCTCTGGGCTAGGCACTGTGGAAACTGCAAACAGTCACTGCAGAGAACTTGCTATGGGCCCCATTGTCCAGATGCCAAGCAGGAGTCAAGGAAAGGAATCTTAAGCAGGGCTCTTTGAGGTGGGTATAACAATTGTCATTACAACAATGGAAAACTTGACTCAGAAAGGGAGTTGCGGCCAGGTGTGGTGGCTCACGCCTGTAACCCAGCACTTTGGGAGGCCGAGGTAGGTGGATCACCTGAGTTCAGGAGTTCGAGACCAGCCTGACCAACACGGTGAAACCCCATCTCTACTAAAAATACAAAATTAGCTGGCCATGGTGGTGTGTGCCTGTAATCCCAGCTACTTGGGAAGCTGAGGCAGGAGAATCACTTGAACCCGAGAGGCAGAGATTGCAGTGAACTGAAATCACACCATTGCACTCCAGCCTGGGCCATAAGAGCAAAACTCCATCTCAAAAAAAGAAAGGGAGTTGTTTTGTCTTAGGTCACATGGCTGGGGACACTGATCTGTTTGACTCCGACGTTTGGCCACCTCGAAACATAAGAGCCAGTCCCTGCTTCAAGGATGTGAGAGTCTAATCACGGAAGATGGGTGTAAATGGAATAAAACCCCAGGTCGGGGGACTTTGGGAACGCCCTTGTAGTTTAAATACTAATTGTGAGAACTAACTGGTATGGACCGATAAGACCACACAATTCAGGAAGAAATAAATATCAGAAATAGAGCATTTAAAATTGAGATTTGAGAAGAGACTTGAGATAACACTAAGCTTTGTATTCTCGGGCAGGATAGGAAAGAAAAATGCAGAAAAACACATTGAATTTTTGAACAGACACGCCTGCATTCTAACCCCAGCTATGCTGTTTGGAACCTCTGAGACCTTGGTCCCTGTGCTAGCTCTGGGCTCTGTTGTAGGATCAGATAATGTATTTGAGGATGCCTAGTGTGCAGTAAATGCTCTACGGGTGTCACCCAGTAGGAACAGAGACAGAGTGGGGAGTTCGTAACAGGTGAGGGTGCTGATGAAGGCATTTATGGGCCAGGTTGGGGAAGGATAGCTGCAATGCTTTGTTAACACCAAATAGAAAGGGGCCTAAATGCCAGAAAAGGAAGGGGCTGCCCTTCCCCCTGCAGACCACGGGGCCCCACAAAGCTGCATAGCGGAGCCATATAATCAAAAGGATGCTCCCAGGGGGTTAATGTTGCAGCAGTGGGCCAGATATACCGCATGCAGGCAAAAGAGAAAAATAAAAGAAGAAAAAACCAGCATGAGTCAATAAAGAAGTATCGTAACTTGCTTCTGATCAGAAAGGACCAGTTTTGAGTTTTTCAGCCAGACCTGTATATCCTGCTGGGTGAGTGTTTTTCTTCTCTCTGCTGGACAACAGACAAAAAGGCACGGGGAGACTGAAAGCTGAGTGGGATCATTCCTCTTAAGAATTCTTACAGCAGCCAGATAAGAGGCCAATTCCGTCAGGGAGAGAGAGAATGCGAGGTGGAGGGCCCTGGTGGGAAGATGGGCTGTTGTTGCCGGTCCGGCACCCTTACCCTGGCAGCGGCCTGCGCTGTAATACTCCGAGGCATCCACCCTCACTGCCCCCAGGGGACTGTCCTTTTTGACTTCACGTGGTTCTGGAGGGCTGTGGGTCCATAGGCTGGCTTACCCCTAGCTCACAAGGCCCGGCCGATCCTAATGACCTCCACCCACCCTCTCGGACACTGAGCGCCCCCACCGCCCAGCCGGCCCACTCTGGGCCAGTAATTCATTCTCCCGAGCTCATCCCAGCCTCTGGGCCGGTAGTTCATTCTCCCGAGCTCATCCCAGCCTCTGGGCCGGTAGTTCATTCTCCCGAGCTCATCCCAGCCTCTGGGCCGGTAGTTCATTCTCCCGAGCTCATCCCAGCCGGGCGGAAGGAGCGCCGCCCGCGCTCTCTGGGTCTGAACTGCCGGCCGACAGCTCCCTCTTGTGGAGAAAACGGTTTGAGGCCGCAAAGAGTGAGCGAGAGACGGAGGCAGAGATTCCAGGCGGCAAGGCGGGCCAGAGAAACGATCAGCACGGCCAACAGACGACCCACAAAATGGGAGAAAATATTCGCAAAGCGCGCATCCGACAAAGGTCGAAGATCCACAATCTATAAGGAACTTAAATAAACTAACAAGTAAAAAAATAACACCATTAAAAAGTGGGCGAAGGATGTGAACAGCTACTTTTCAAAAGAAGACACACCCGCGGTAAACAAGCATGTGAAAGAATGTTCATCGCTAATCATTAAAGAAATGCAAATTAAAACCACAATGAGATACCATCCCACACCAGCCAGAATGGCTATTATTAAAAAGTCAAAAAATAACAGAGGCTGTACACCAAACTGCCCCCAACACAGTTTACCTATGTAAAAACCTGCACATGGGCCCAGACCTAAAACCAAAGTTAAAAAAATAATAATAAGATAATATAAAAATACTCAAAAAAGAGAGAAAGTGAAGAGGACAAGGAAAAAGAGAAGGATGGAAGGAGAAGGAAAGTGAGGGGGAAAAGGAAAGGGAAAGGAGGAGGAGGATCTGTTTGACCCCGTGTAAGGGCCTGTCCTGACCCCATGTAAGGGTCTGTCCTGACCCCGTGTAAGGGCCTGCCCTGACCCTACGTAAGGCCGTGCATGGACCCTCTTTTCCAGCTGAATTCAGAATTCTGGCCTCTGTTTAAAGTTGCCATCCAGAAACTTTCAACTGTGCCAGTCTTGATTAATAGCCTTTCTAGAAGGCACTTTGGTGCTCAGCAGTCCTTAACCTCTGCCATTTCTTGCAGTCAAGTGTTAAGGTGGAGAACTTTCAACATCAAGAATGCATGGAATTAGGGAAGGGGAGTCCCACCCTTTCTTCTTGGGGAGGGTGTGGAGGAAGGCGTGAGAAGTGGAGTCTGGGGGCGAATGTGTGAGAGTTGTATCACCAGCTGCGGGTATCCTTCCTTCCTTCACCATCATCCAATGCCGCCCTGAGTCTCTGACCCTCCCCAGCCGTGCTGCCCACAGGGGATGTCCAGAGGGGCTGGGCCAGAGGCTGTACCCACCTTTCCCCTGCCTGCGCACCTGGGCTTGCAGGGTGACGTTGGCCTTGAGTGGGGGCTGCTCATCGTGGACCACCCAGCAAGCAAACTCACGCTCCTCCAGCGTGGCCTCTGCCTGCCACGTGTGCTCCAGAGAGTATGTCCCATCTGGATTTCTGGTGGCCTGAGGGGACGAGGGGACACCAGGGTCTGGATCATGCTCCTGTTCTCCATCCAGGTGAGTCGCAGGTGGGCGGGATAGAAGTGGAGGACGTGGCAGGTGAGATTCACTCTGTCTTGCACATGTACATGGGTCCCAGAGGTTTCAGTGGTGATCTTCAGGGTGGGGACAACTAGACAGAGGAATAGGAAGTAAGACCTGGTGAAATCAGCCCCTGCCTGTGGCCACCCATGCTTCCCTCTCCCAGGGAACAGCCTCAAGGTCTCTCGCCTTTTTTTAAAGAAATATTTTTTTCTTGTATGCGTAATGTAAAGCAAATAGGGCTAAATGTTAATATTCATTAAATATGGGTAAGGGTACCTGGGTGTCTGCTATATTCTGTATTTTTGAAATATTTCATATCAGAAAATATAATTTTAAGAATTAGTAAAAGGTGATGCCCATGACGACAGGGACTTTATTTTGCTCGTTGCTGCATCCCCAGCACTGAGCACAGGGTCTGGCATACAGTGGATATTCATTATTATTAAATGAATAATAAACATTTAAAAAAAAAACTGTAACAATGACATTAATAGAACAAAGATGTTTAGAAAGGGAGTCTGGGACCAGATAATAACAAGATCAAACATTCGTAAGTAAGTCACTGCATGCCAGGCACTGTTATGTGTGTTTTATAAGGAATAATTCATTTAATCTTCACAGGACAGCTATGAAGTAGGTCCTCATTTTTTTCCTGTTATATAAAGAAACTGGTATTAAATAGTCAAGTAACTCACAAGATCCCACAAGTTGTAAAGTGGCACAGCTAGGATTAAAACCCAGACAGCGAGCCCCTGGAACCTGCGCTTATAACCACAATACACATGATCAGAAATCCATGAGGAATTTCATTTCCCCATTTATGAAATGAGGCTTTGGGCAAAAACCCTGAAAGCTGGATGCTTCCAGGGTTAATGTCCACCCCACCTGACTGCCCATTCACCTCAGAGCACTTGGGAGAGATTCATGGTTGTTTTCAGGGGCTCTGCCAGGGCCCTGTGGGTGACTTCGCAGGTGATCTCAGATGAGACATCCTGTCGGGTCAGTGTCACCCATGCCTTGCTGGTGATGAAGTCATTGCCTCCATTGTCAGGCACCAGGCGCTGAGCTGAGGCTGGATGTTCATCACTGTCCTTCAACCACGTAACATTGAAGTCCCGGGAGAAGTCCTGGGAGTTGAAGGGGACAGCAGTACAGTTGAAAGGCACTGAGTCTCCAGGGCTTGTCCTGTGAGATGGACCAGTCAGAGAGATGAAGGGCTGTCCAGCTAAGGAAAGAGCAATTGTGATTGTACACTGAGAGTGGGACACACCCCACAGGCACCAGTGGCACCAGAGCTGTGTCAGGCCCTGGGGGCCTACTATATGCTGTGTCTGATTCTGTCTTCAGGCAGCATATCGGCATTTGATCATAAGAAAACAAGCAAATGCAAATGTGATTATGACTGATCCCAGTGCCATCAAGGAAACCCAAAGACTGCATAGATGGAGAATACAGGGAGGACTTATTCTAGAAGGGCAGCTGGGGAAGAATTACTTGAGGAGGTGACATCATTGAGCTGAAACTCAGGAATGAATAGGAGCCAGCAATGGGAAGGGACAGAGGAAGGACATTCCAGACAGCGGGGACAGCAGGAGAGAAGGACCTCAGGCAGGAAGGGCTTGGTGGGCTTGAGAAACTGAGAAGTCTGTAGGGGACCCTAGTGTCATGGCAAAGAGGTCCAGAGTGAGAAGAGCCTGGGGACCATGGTGATGATCTTGATTCTATTCTGAGAGTGATGGGAAACCAGCAGAGACTTTAACAGAGGGGCAAAGTGGTCTGATGTACATTTTTTAGAGGATAACTGGGGTTGTTGTGTGGAGAATGGGAAGGAGCGTGGCAGGAATGGAAGCAGGGAGACCAGTGGGGAAGCTGGTACAGACCTCCAGGCCAAGGTGATGGTAGCCTGGACTAGGGTGGTGAGAAAAGGAGGCTCGAGACACATTTGGAAGATACAGCCCACAGGACTCAGTGATGGGCGGGATGGGGGGTGAGGGACAGAATGAATTCTGGATCAACAATTCCCAGGTTTTCTCTAGAGCAGCTGTGTGGGTGGTAGCTCTACTTTTTGAGCTGGGAAGATCTGGAGAAGGACCAAGTTGGGATAGGAAGGGAATGGTGATGAATCAGGATTTCCATTGTGGATGTAAGTTTATAAGGACTTGAGTGTAAAGTCAAGAATCACCCCAACAGGGATGGTTGGCCCCCCTACTCGGGTGCCTCCCATCAACACTTCACTAGACCCCCGTTGTCTGCTTGCTTACCTGCAGTGACAGGGAGCTGTCTCCATGAGAAGCAGCTCCATTCACCCTCACACCCAGCTAGGACTATGACAAAATATTTCCTGCTTCTGGGATATAACCTGGGATCTGTCTCCCAGAATTTTCCCAGGAAAACTGCAGGATGAGACTCACCCCTCCTTCTAAGGACAGCCTTGCAGAGCTCTGGAGCAAGAAACTCCCCAAGTCTTCACAGCATTCCCTAAGCCCCTGCTCTGCACCAGGTCAAGAGCTGGGTGCTGAGACCACAGAGATGAGTCAGACAGGACCCCCACCCTTGAGAAGCATCTGGTCAGATGGGGGTGAAAGGCAAATAAACAACCAATGACAAGCAGGATGACAGGCAGAGGGCAGCGCAGGAGGCCATAGGAACTTGTCCTCTTAGCACACAGCTCTGGTACCTTCTGGACTGTGCTCTGCCCTCATCACCCACCCTGCACACAGCACCGTGTGGTTCAGAAAACATTTTCAGCCATGTGTGCTTCTTTTCTTCCACATCTCAGCTGTGGGAGGCTGGTATTATTGTCCTCACTTTCCAGAAAAGGAAACAGAGATTCAGAAAGGTCTCGTGACTTGCTCAAGGTCACACAGCCTATCAGTGACTAAAGAGGGAGGGTAAGAAGGCCTGTCTGACTTTGGGTCCAGGACTCTTCCATGCCTCCAATGCCGGAGGCTCCATCACTCTGGCGACTTCTCTCTCTCTCTTTTTTTTCTCTCTCTCTCTTTCTTTCTCTCGCTCTGTCTTTTCCACCCTTACACCCTCTCTGACCCAGAACAGGTAGCCACCCAGACTAGAGCTGACATCGGGAAAACTGGGAGGTGGGCTCCTCTTTTACCCCCTGACCTCCCCCGAGCCCCTCACCCTTAGGTCACTTCCTCTTCTGACCCCCAAGCTCCCACCAGCTCCCTTTGTCCGCAAGGTCTACATTGAAGAAAAGATGCAAAACAGCACCTGACTGGCAGGAAAACAGCTCAGTCACCTCCTCTGAGCCTCAGTCTTCCTTCAGAAAGACACAGTGGCTGGATTTGGTCATTCCTGGGGGTCTCCTTGCCTGCCCTGAGGGTCTCTCTGGGCAGGAATCAGGACTCACCTGTGAGTCCCAGCAGAAGGGTGGGCAGGAGGGAGCCCAGGGCCCGCCCAGGTGTGGTAGCCATGGTGAGAGACTCACAGTGCTCCTGGTCTGTTCCTGGTGGCAACCACTGGATAAGGCCCTGAAAGAGCCCAGGAGCCACTGACCAGCCTCTGACAGCCTGGAGCAGGCCTTATACTTCCCAGCTGCCTACCCCACCCCATTCTCTGCCATGCCTGGAACAGAGGCCTGAGCCACAGTGAGGGAAGTGGTCACTGTGGCCACGGCCTCCTTCCAAGCTGCAAACCTTCAGGCCTGAGGTGTCTAACCAGGGAGGCATCTGGAGCCTTTTAATGGGTTCCGACTGTCCCTGATTCCCCATGAGCAAAACCAGAAAGCGGCTGAGCTCTGCCTCAAGCTTCAAGCCACAGAGCTGGCCTCTGATAGGCTGAGCCTTGATGTCCCTTGTCCTGGAGGCTCCTCCATGCTGAACAAGCAGCATCAAGAGCCTGCCCTGTCCCAGGCCCAGACACGGCTTCTGGGAATGCAGAATGGATCAGATATGGGCCCAGAGGGTTGAGAAGTGAGCCTTGACATACACAACCACGTGCAACCAAGAAAGACCCTAGACTTTGAAACCCAACCCTTGCCTCACAGCTTAACTGGGCTTGGACAATGGTGGCACGGATTTCCCATGGCCCAGAACTGTCTACTAGGCTCCACGTTGGGGAAACATGAGTTTGAAACACAGCCACCAGTTTCCCTGACCTCCCTATGAAAACAACCTCTCCCTTTGGTCTCTCTCCATTTCCTTACCCTACGTTACTGGGCTTTCCAATGGTTAGCCCTGATGTATATTACTCGTTTTTATCCATTTCCCTCATGAAAAACAAATGATTTGCCCTGAAGACTACTGCTTTTTGTTCATGGCTGTAACCAGCAGCCACACAGTGCTGGGCACAGAATAGATACTCGCTAATAACAAATGAACCTTTGGGGCCAGGTATGTTCTCAAGACTGATTACAAAGCAGCCAAGCCCAGCCTGCTCCCCAGCCATCCCATCTCTTTGGGGTCTGTACGCTCAGCTAAAGTGGAGGGAGAGGCTAGAGAGGAGTTTTCTAGCCTGGGTGAGGCTGTTATGGAAACTCCCCTGACCTCACAACCCCCCACCACTACTCAGCCAAGCAAGGCACCCCAAAATGACTCCTAGATATTACGTGCCTGCAGGAGGAGGAGGCTGGCTTTTCTTTTTCCAGGTGTCTCCTGAAGCAACAGTGGATTTGCTGATCCACCTTGATGTTGCCCTGAGCAGGAGAAAAAGGAACTGAAAAGAGACAGCAGGGTAGAGTGACGGGGTGGCAGGGCAGCAGCTCAAGCTTCCTCCATGCAGAGTGGCAAGGGGGTGAGGTCCATGGAGAGACCCTCATTGAAAGGGGGGAGCCGACCTTAGAGCATCCCACTCAAGAGAGATGACCACTGGCAAGAGGGCCTAGGAGTAAGAGACTGCAGCATGGACTCCAGCGGGGAGCTGTGAACCTGGATCAGATCATGCATAAAAGAGACTGTGCAGCAGACTGTGTACCCCCACAGCATACACACATGGGCACACACACGTGCACATGCATGCACACATGCACACATTCAGGATCCTCCTAGGAATCCACACCTGTGCCCTAGGAGGCAGCTGGCTTCCAGAGTCCAGCCATAGTGAACAGAGCATTGCTGGGTAAAAGAAGTCCCTCTTTTTCCATCTCCCTTCCCAGGCCCTAACACACCAGATGATAGACAGACCCAATTCAGGGAAAGGAGGAGGGACAAAAGAATGCTTCACCTCCATCCCTTCCAGATCCCTCAGCAGGGACTTGGAGGCAGCAGTGGGCTGGGGTGAGAGAAGGAAGTGGACGCTGAACTAGATGTAATGTTGGCATTTTCAACCAGACTAGTTTGGACTGGGCAGGGCCTGACACAGAATAGTTACTTTATAAAGTTTGGTAAAATTATTCATCTACCCTCAGTTCCTTGGTGACACTAGCCACATTTCAGACACTCAATAGTCACGTGTGGCTACTGGCTACCATAGTCGACAGTGAGGTCTTGGGTGAAACATTCTTCATCAGGGAAGTCTTTTCTACCCTAATGTCTCCCTGTGGGTTCAAATACTTCTCTTGCAGAGCATTTATCACAGTTATAATTAAACTGTTAACTTGAAACTAGTTGCATAATAACTCTTTCCCTTATTAGACTGTAGGCTCTGGAGGACAGGGACCATGTCCTTGGTCACTAGTGTAAATAAGTGCCGGATGAATGTTTGTTGGATGGATGGATGGGTGGGTGGATGGATGGATGGGTGGATGGATGGGTGGATCCATGGATAAACAGACTAAGAGGAAGGTATGTGCTACAGGGCAAGGGACAGAAGGAAGCAATCCCACTGAGAAAGCAGAGAAGCCTTCCTGGAGGAAGTGGGCTTCCTTCAGGGCTCCTGTCTCAGCCCTCCAGCTTAATCACACCATCTACACAGAAGGAGAAGACTGGCAACACTAGGGCTAAGCTGCAGTGGGTGGGCAGCCATGGGCAGCCTGCCTTGTGGGGCTGGAAGGCTGAAGGGGAAGTGGAGAAGATGAGGTTCTCCAAGGAGTGGCCTGAGGAATGCCAAAGTACCCACAGGGCTAGCCCAGGCTGGGCCATGCGTCCACTGGGTAAGGCTTGGCTTCCTCTGAGTAGAGTCACGTCAGTCTCCTTCCTTATTCTAGCACCGGCAAGAACTGGCTGTCACGTACTCTATAAGCACAACCTTTTATAGGAGCTGGGGACCCAAGAGCCCTCATCATGAATATGGGCCCCTGTGCTGGCCTAACAGGCTGAGGGCCCAGAGAGGACAGAGAGTTGCTAGCTCTTCAGAAAAGGGACACTGGGCCAGGTGCAGTGGCTCATGCCTGTAATCCCAGCATTTTGGGAGGCCAAGGAAGGCGGATCATGAGGTCAGGAGTTCGAGACCAGCCTGACCAACATGGAGAAACCCTGTCTCTACTAAAAATACAAAAATTAGCTGTGCGCGGAGGCATGCGCCTGTAATCCTAGTTACTCAGGAGGCTGAGGCAAGAGAATCGCTTGAACCCAGGAGGCAAAGGTTGCAGTGAGCTGAGATCGCGCCAGTGCACTCCAGCCTGGGGACAGAGAGAGACTCTGTCTCAAAAAAAAAAAAAAAAAAAGGACATCAATGACCCTAAAATCCAACTCCTTGCTGCAAGGACCCATGGATCTTTTACCCTCACCCCATCTTCTTAGACTTACCCTTGACAAGCTGCACATGTCACTCTGAGCCTCCTGCGAACACAAGTCCGTGTCTCCCCAAGACGATGATCAGCCTCCTTGAGGACAGGAACCCTTCCTTGTCCACTTGCTCCATGTCTGAGACCTCAGTGCCTCACACAGCCCCTAACACTGAATAGCCCCTGAACATGCATGTGTTAAATAAATGTGTTTCGTTATTGATTTACTTATTCCTGCAATTCTTTATAGAGTGTCAATTATGTGGCAGGCATCATTTGGGGCACTGAGCAAGTGAGCAGTGAGCAAGATAGTAAAAATAAAGGAATACCTAGGCAGTATAATTCCAGGGAGGTTAACTGGTATGAAGAAAAAGAAGTCAGGGGATAGACAGTAGCTGCGTATATTTTGGACCGTGTGCACAGGAAGCCTTCTCTGGGGAGGGGCCTATGAGCTGAGACCTGAATGAAGGAAGTGGAAGTCATAGGGAGTTCTAGGAGAAGAATGTTCCAGAGAGAGGAATACACTTGCAGGGCAGGCATGAGCTGGGCATATGTGAGCCACAGCAAGGTCACTGTGGTGGGAGCAGAGTGAGGGAACAGATGGTCATGGGAGAAACTGCAGGACTTGATCTTGGAGGCTGTGCTGATGAGGTTAGAGTGTAATCTGTGTGCAGTGCCTTGGGCAGAGAGCAGTACCGGAGCAGGATCCAGGTCACAGATTGGAAACTCACACTCTGGTGGCTGTGTGTATGTGTGTGTTGGAGGAGGGACAGGCTGGAGGTGGGTAAGGAAGGAAGCAGGGGAGAAGAGGAAGCAAGAGGCCACTGCAGTTAGGGATGGCTGGACACAGGACTCTGGAGCTGGGGGAGAGATAGGTGATGGAGATGGGGGATAGATATTTGCAAGCTGTCAACATGTGGATGGTTTCCACATGGACATTGCATAGGATGAGACCACCTCAGGAAAGAAGAGATTGGGGGAGAGGGAGAGGGGGAAGGAGAGTCCCAGGGCTGGGATTCTGATCTGGCTCTGCCACCAATTTGCAGGGTCAGCTTGGGCCATCTCTCTGGGCTTTGGGTTCTACAACTGGACATGAAGGGAACTGAGCCAGGTGATCTCTAAGGATCCTTCTTCTTTGAATATTCACAGGCTTGGTTTCATTTCCTGTACCCAGGAGTTTTAGTCTGGGCCGGGGCTCCACTCACCCCACTGCTGAGCCTGCTGGCTATCTGATCCCTGCATTGCACAGGGCCCCACTCTGAGAGGAACCCGCACTTGATTTACTGCTCTGCTGTTACTGTTTTGAAACGTTTAATTATTCTGGGACATGCTCTGCTAATTATGTGGCCAGTGCTACCATGTGCCGTTGGTCTACTGCTGTGAGGTGAGGCAGGAGCACGATTTGGCTGTTGGGAGGTCCCTCAGGTTGTTGGGTGCCAGGACTGAGGGCCCTTGCTGGACCCCTCTGAGGACTCCCCAGTCCCTGCTGTCACCAACGCCACCCTCCCAATGCCTCCCCAGACTCTGCAATCCCAGAAAGACAACCTTGGCATTCCTGAACTTCCTTTTCCTCTTTCCTTCAGAAGCTGAACAAATAGTCAAGGGCAAATACCAAAACCGTGGAATTCTGATATAGACCAGGATTTCCGAAGATATGAGCCATGGACTGACATGCAGACACAGTCCTACCCCAGATGTAGAATCCTACAGAGGTCCTAAAATCTGCAGTTAAACAAACTAAACAAAACAGCATTCTGACTGAGTTAAAACTTGAGAACTGCTGATTTAAGCTAGTGACCCAGATGAGTTCAGGAAGATGACTTGATGGGGGCATTGATGCTGCCTGGATTGGGGGCTGGGGAGAAGGAGGGAAGCCAGGGAGAGATGAACTACTCAGCCATATGCTCCTTGTCCTTCAGGTCTCAGCTCAAATGTCCGCCCCCAGGAGGCCTTCCCTTGACTCCAGCACACAGTGAGCTGAGACCCTGCTCCAAGCTCCCTCAACTCCTGACCTTAGCAGAGCACCTTCTTACCATTGGTGATTGTCACTACTGCTAGACTGCGTGCACCGTGGAGGCCAGGAATGGGGACTCTCTTGGTCTCCATGGTATCCGCAACACCTAGCACAAGGTGTAGCACACAGAAGATGCTCAACAAATACTTGTTCGATGAATGAATGAAGAGAGAGTTTGGATGTATAGGGCCAAGGGAATCTTTCAGTCCTAGGAATCTGACACTTACCTTGGAGTGAAGGCTGGTTACTGCCTCTTGCCTGAGGAGACCCTATAGAGGGCTAGCATTAGAATTCCCCTCTCCTGGCTGATCTTAGAGTGATGGAAGAGACTGGCAGGGGAAAATTTAGACTAAGGTGTTAAAGGCTAACATACCATTTCACCCTTCAATATTGGTTGTGATTTCCAAAATGCTATTTGCTAACCCCACTGAGCATCTCACTGGGAAGATCCAAGCCATTGAGGAAAGAAAACAAGCAAAAGAGATTTAAGGGTTAAAGAAACCCTCTTTTGATATTTTACATAGTCCCAACAAACTTCTCTGCTGCAGGAGATGAAGACTTCAGCCACTACAGGTGGACTGGCCCCAGTGACCCCTGTCTCCATGAGAGCAAGCAGATATAATAATGGGAGATGATGGTGAAGATCAATGCCTTAAACCCGAAGAATGGCTTTAATGGTGGACTTTTAGGCTGTCAGCACTTAGGTGGGGCACATCTGTAGGAAGAGGAGAAGAAAAGAAAACTCAATGAGATGAGGTGATTTGCTTGATAACTTACAGAGAGACCAGCAAGCTAGATAGGAACAACTAAGACCAATAAGGAAGTTATAAGAGGCTCATTTCTGCTTAAGAGAAGGAAGAACTTTCTAACAATAAATGCTGTCCAGTAACAAAACTGTTTATCTTTTGGGGGAACTTCCTTTCATCAGGGAAGTATAAGTATAGAACTCCAGTTAGAGATGCTGGACAAGGAGTCTAATTCGACTAGATAAGTGATTTTCAAACCATAGGTCACAATGCCTTCATGGGGCATGAAATCGATTTAGCGGACCTAAACTAGCAATTTTTTTTAACGGAAAAGATAGAAGAGAGAGGAAAGAAAAGAAGGAAAGGAGGAGAAGGGAAAAGTTAGAAGATAGAAGGGGAGGTGAGGCGAGGAAAGAGAAAAGAAGAGGAATTATGTGAGTTTATCCCACATAGGAAAGGCAAGAACTGTCCACTGAAACTTTCGGGGTGTGTGTGTGTGCGCGTCCGTGTTTGTGTGTGTGTGTGCGCGTGTGTGCACTCACTAGGTGGCAATATAAAGTATATTACTAAGTGTGGGTGATAGTCAAAAAGATTGAACACCTCCGGAAGTTGATCTCTAAGATCCTTCAAACTTTGCAGTTATGTGACATGAGGTCCTTAGGTTTTATGTATCAAATTATGAGAATAGGATTCTAAGATCCATTTATTTCATTTTTTATTCATTTACTCCACATTTATTTAATACCTATTTTAAGCCATACTGGGTGCTAGGGGCAAAGAGATACATCAGAATCAGTATCAGTTCCTGCCCTCAAGATATGGAGATGAACATTTACACAGATCATTATAATACAGTGTAGTATATGCTTCAGTAAGCATTTGGCTAAGATTTATGCACCTTTCACCCAGCCCCCTGTGCAAACTGATTTTCTTATCTCCATTTTACAGATGGAAAAAAAATCAAAGCTCAAATGGTCACACAAAGGGTGAATCAAGGTCCACCCAGCAGAACCAGAATTTGAACCTAAGACCACCAGGAGAGCCTGAATTTCTAACCGTTGGGCTCCACTGGGGTGTGAAGGGCAGGTGGGTGGGATATGGAGGCTCAGAGAAGGAAGGCTGGCTGCAGCAGCTGGGGGTGGGGTGGGGAAGAGGCCAGGGAAGGCTTCATAGACAAGGGATCATTGAGCTATGTCTTGAAGGAAGAGGAGTTGGATGGCTTGACAAGGGGGCAAAGGTGTCACCTTCCATACAACCAGCAGAAGCCGCTCGAAGAATAGTAAAAATTGTGGGATGTACAGCAGGCAGACCTGGTGCGAATTTTAGTTCCAGCTTTTACTACCTGTGTGACCCTGGACACGTCACCTAACCCCTCTAAACTTCCATTTCTTCATGCATTACATGGGAGTTATTATGAAATGAGAGATTACGCACCCAATGCATCCAGCATTAGCACAGTGCCTGGAAAATAATAGAAGCCTCATGCTAATTACAACCTATTTATGACAGTTTGCTGCCTATCAGCTGAGTAACCTTGAGCAAACTGCTAACCTCTCTGTGCCTCACTTCCCTCATCTTTAAAATGGGAATCATAATAGCACCTATCACATAAGGTTATGAAAATAAAATGAATACACGTGACATGCTTAGAAGAGTATGAGGCAAAAATCAGGTGGATGATAGAGGTAGGTCACTGTTAATACTTCTGTGTGCTACACACCGTGCAGAGAGTTTTACCATTTTATTTATTCATTAGGTTAACAAATGATCATTGAGGGTTTGCTAGGTTCCAGGCAATATTCAAGGTGCAGCAGAGAATACGAAGTAGGTTAGGACAAGGCTGCAGCCCTGGGTGGAATTTGTTTGCTGGGGAGTGGGAGGGAGAATAGGATTTGGGCAGGAGGTGAGATAAGTGGTGAGAAATGAGGCTGGAGAGATGGAACGGGTCAGAGCATAAAAATCGTTTTATGTCATGTCGTCCTATAAATAGTGGTGAGTCCACGGAGATTTTCAATCTGGGGGACTTTTCTTCTTAGAATTTACGATTCTCCAGTTGTAAAACTCTATGACTCTACGTGCCAAAGTCTTTTTGATTCCAAGATTATAGTCCTATGGTTTTGTGACTTTTAATATTTCTTACTTGCTGTAGTAGATTGATATTAAAAGTCCCCACAGTGGGGACTTTTGGTTTCAACTCTGACATGCAAAGAACTTGGAAGTCGTTACTCCTGACCTTACAACAAGAAAATGCTGGATATGCTGAAAATCAATGACTTTCCTTGAGCCCATTAGAAAACTGAGGTTGCAGAGCAAACTACCACCTAAAAATCTGGAGAATCAGATGAGTCCAGATAGATGTGAGCCCAAAGTTCTGCTTCCCTGCAGCAAGGCCTAAGTCAGCCAGTGGGAATGCTTACACAGTAATTCTGATGAATTGCCAAGGCTACGTGCAGACTAGCATGGGAGGGAGAAGCATGAGAGGGAAGACCTCACACTCTTGCAGGTTTTTCCTCCAGAAAGCTCACCAAGTTCCAATGAGAAAGGTCCCCACGTGGCCCGAGCAGGGAGATGCAATGAAAGCTATGGTGAAACCCTCCCAGGATCTCTTCCCTCATTGCCAGAGGGAAGGACTTTGGCAGAGGGCACTTCTGAAACTCTATCTTAGCTAGGCTAAAGGAGCTCTGCATCACTCCAGGCCTCTCCAGACTTCCTGTCCCATCTAGGGAGGAAAAAAGTGGTGGCAGGGGAGGGAGCTCTACCCCTGCAGGAAGAAGAAAAACACTTCTAAAGTCCACACTCCTGAAGCAAGAGGCCCCAGATTGAGACTTAATTAGAGGATTAGGGAATGCCCTCCGTCCCCCACACTCTAGCACATACCAATAAGGCTCCAGTAGAGTACAGTGACTTACAGCTACAAGACACAGACTCTCTGAGGAGCTGTATAAAGGAAAGCTCCAGAGCCAAGAGAGGAGAAAATAAGGACATTAAATGAATTGGAAGTCCCTGGTGCCTATAACTACAACAAGCATTAAATGCTGCCCAACTCCTAGCTAGATTAACATCAATCCTCACACTAAAGGTCTATTTACCTCAGTGTTTATTTTCTTATTCAACATGTCCAGCTTTCAGCAAAAATTTACAAAGCAAGCTATAGAGGCTGAGCATCCCTAATCTGAAAATCTGAAATTTGAAATGCTCCAAAATCTGAAAGTTTTTGAGGGCCAACATGACAACACAAGTGGAAAATTCTACACCTGATCTCATGGGATGGTCTGCAGGCAAAACACAGTCAAAAATTTGTTTCATGCACAAAATTTTTAAAATACTGTATAGCTTGTTGCATTGGCATGCACCTGTAGTCCCAGCTACTTAGGAGGCTAGGGCAGGAGGATTGCTTGATCCCAGCAGTTCAAGGCCAGCCTGGGCAACATAACAACACTCCATCTCTATATATATTTTACACACACACACACACACACACACACACACACACAGAGTATATGTGTGTATTTTATACACATAGTATAAAATTATACACTATAATTTTATATGCATAGTACATAGTATTAGTCCATTTTCATGCTGCTGATAAAGATATACCCAAGACTGGGCAATTTACAAAAGAAAGAAGTTTAATTGGACTTACAGTTCCACGTGGCTGGGGAAGCCTCACAATCATGGTGGAAGGCAAGGAGAAGCAAGTCATGTCTTACATGGATGGCAGCAGGCAGAGAGAGCTCTCACAGGGAAACTCCCCTTGTTAAAACCATCAGATCTCATGAGATTTATTCACTATCACGAGAACAGCATGGGAAAGACCTGCCCCCATAATTCAATTACCTCCTACTAGGTACCTCCCACAACACGTGGGAATTCAAGACGAGATTTGGGGTGTGGGTGGGACACAGCCAAACCATATCACATAGTATAAAATTATCTTCAGGCTATGTGTGTAAGGTGTGTATGAAACATAAATGAATTTTGTGTTTAGACTTGGGTCCCACCTCCAAGATATGTCATTATGTATATGCAGACATGCCCAAATAAAAAAAAATAAAATCTAGAACACTTGTGGTCCTAAATATTTTAGGCAAGACATACTCAATCTGTGTTAGTTCCCCAAGGCTGCTGTAACAAATTAGGACAGGGTGGGTGGCTAAAAACAACAGAATTTTATTCTGTTAATGTTCTGGAGGCCAGAAATCCAAAATTAGAATCACTGGGCCGATACCAAGGTGTTGGCGGGGCTGTGCTCCCTCTTAAGGCTCTATAAGGGAGAATCCCTTCCTTGCCTCTCCCAGCTTCTAGTAGCTGCTGGCATTCCTTGGTTTGTAGCCAAATCACTCCAATCTCTTCCTGTCTGGTCATGTCACCTCCTCCTCTTCTGTGTATCAAATCTCCCTCTGTCTCCCTCTTATATGGAGACATGTAGAAAGAAGTACAAAGTAGGAGGACTCACACTCTCAATTTCAAAACTTAGGATAAAGCTATAGTAATTAACACAGTATGATAATGACATAAGGTTATATAAACCAATATATAGACATATAGACCAGTGCAATAGAATTGAAAGTCCAGAAATAACCCCATAAAGTATAGGGCCAGGGTGTTAAGTCCAGTCAGTGTGGAAAGAATAGCCTCTTCAACAGGTTGTGCTGAGACAACAGGATGTCCATGAACAAAAGAAATGAAGTTGGATTCCTACATCACTCCATATGTAAAAATTGACCCAAAATCCATCAGAGCCTGAATGTAAAAGCTAAAATCATAAAATTATTAGAAGAAAGCATAGTTGTAAACCTTCACAACCTTGGATTTGGCAGGGGTTGCAAAAGCATGAGCAATAAAAGAACAAATAAATTAATTAAAATTAAAAACTTTGGTGCATCCAATGTTATCATCAAGAGAGTGAAAAGACAACCTATGCGATGGGAGAAAATACTTGCAAATTATATATCTAATAATATAATTATTAGAATATATTAAGAGCTCCTACAACTCAACAATTAAAGAGACAAACAACCCAATTAAAAAATGGGAAGAGGACTTGAATAAGCATTTTCCCGGAGAAGATACACAAATGTCCAATAAGCACAAGAAAATATGCTCAACATCATTAGTAATTTAGGAAACACAAAATCAAAACCACTTCATACCTAAGAGGATGGCTATTTACAAATAACAACTAAAAAAAAAAAAAAAGAAATGGCAATGATGTGGAGAGATTGGAACCCTTGTTCACTGATAGTGAGAAAGTAAAAGGGTGCGGCCACTGTAGAAAAGTTTTCCAGTTTCTCAAAAAGCTAAACATAGAATTGCATATGATCCAGCAATTCCACTCCTAGCTTTACAGTGCAAAGAATTGAAAACAGGGACTATGATGCTTGCATGCCAATGTTCATTGCAACATTCTTCACAATAGCCAAAAGATGTTTTGGCTGTCGTGAAAAATCAAGTGTCCATCAACAGAAAAATTACTCAACAAAATGTGGTATATACATATCATAGAATATTATTCAGCCATAGAAAAGAATAAAGTTCTGATAGATGCTGCAAAAGGATCAATCTCGTAAACATTATTATGTTAAGTGAAATAAGGCTGATACAAAAGGACAAAACGTGTATAAGTCCACTTATATGAAATCCGCTTTGTGCATCTGCTTTGTTAAACAGTTTGGTGATTCTTTGATATGCTAAATATACAGTTACCATATGACTCAACAATTCCACTTTTAGGTATTTACCTAAGGGATTTGAAAACATATATCCACACAAAAACTCATACATCAATGTTCATAGCAGCTTTGTTCATCAGAGCCAAAAGATGAAAATAACCCTAATGTCCATCAACTGATTAAAAAAATGGGATGATGCAATAAAATATGACATCATACAATGGAATATTATCCAGTCATAAAAAGGAATGAAGTAGTGATACATGGCCGCAGTAGCACGCACCTATAGTCCCAGCTACAGAGGAGGCTGGGGCAGGAGGATTGCTTGGATGAACATGGATGAACTCTGAAAACATTATACCAAGTGAAAAAAGCCAGACACAATATAGAATCACATTATATGATTCCATTTATATGAAATGTCCAGAACAGGAAAATTCATAGAGACATAAAGTAGATTGGTGGTTGCCAGGTTCTCCAGGGAGGGGGAATGGGAAGTAATTGCTAACGGGTGTGCATTTCTTTGTAGGGTAATTATATGTTTCTGGAATTCTTGTTGATAATTTCACATCTTTTTTTTTTCTTTTTTGAGATGGTGTCTTGCTCTGTTGCCCAGGCTGAAGTGCAGTGGCATGATCTCAGCTCACTGCAACCTCTGCCTCCTGGGTTCAAGCAATTGATTCTCTTGCCTCAGCCTCCTGAGTAGCTGGGACTACAGGCACCCACCACCAAGCCTGGCTAATTTTTGTATTTTTAGTAGAGACAGGGTTTCACCATGTTGGTCAGACCTCAAGTGATCCACCTGCCTTGGCCTCCCAAAGTTCTGGGATTACAGGCATAAGCCGCTGTGCCCAGCGATAATTTCACATCTTTGTGAATACACTAATCAGCACAGAACTGTACACTTGGGAAGGGTGAATTTTATGGTATGTGAACTATATCTCAATTTTTTAAGTAAGGGGATAGTATACTCACACTAATCAAAAGGATACTGGAGTAGCTATTAATATATTCATTTTAGACAAAGCGGACTTTAGAATAAGAAAGAGTATCAGAACTAATGAGGGTCATTCTATAATTATAAAGGAGTCAATTATCCAAGTAGTCATAATCATCTTAAGCTCCTAACAACAAGTGTCAAAATTCATGACATGAAATAGACAGAACTGAAAAGAGAAATAGGCAAATCCACAATTACAGTTGGAGACTTCAATACCCCTCTTTCAGTAATTAATAGATCAAACAGGCAGAAAATCAGTAAGGATACAGATGACCTGCACAGCACTATTAATTAACTTGATCTAATTAACATTTATAGAGTATTTCATCCAATAACAGCGGAATGCACATTCTTCTCAAACACTCATGGAATGTTCACCAAGACAGACCACATTCAGGACCATCAAACACACCTTCACAAATTAAAAAGAATAGAAATCATACAAATTACGTTCTTAGATCACAAAGGAATTAAACTAGAAATCAAAAACAGAAAGCTGACTATAGTAGGAAATTAAACAGTACACCTTTAAATAAACCATGGTTCAAAAAAGAAGTCTCAAGAGAAATTAGAAAATATTTTGAACTAAATGAAAATAAAAATTAGAAAACTTTGTGTTATTTAGCTAATGTAGTGCATAAAAGGAAATTTATAGCATCCAATGTGTGTTAGAAAAGAAGAAATTCCAGAATCAGTAGCCTAAACTTCTACCTTAGTAAACTAAATAAAGAATGGAAAGTTAAAATTGAGACAATAGGAGAAAGAAAATAATAAAAATTAGAGCAGAAATCAGTGATATTAAAAACAGAAAAACAATAGAGAAAAGCAATAAAAGCCAAAAGCTAGTTCTTTATAAATATTAATAAAATTGATAAGCCCCTAGCCACGCTAACCAAGGAAAAGCAAGTGAGAAGACACAAATTACTAACACTGAGGAAAAAAGAGGGGTCATTACCATTGATCCCACAGAAACTGAAACGATGATGAGTTGTTACTGTGGACAACCCTATTCCCATAAATTTGATAATTTAGATCAAATTAGCCAATTCCTTGAAAGACACAAACTACCAAAACTTACTTAAGGAGAACCAGAGATAACTTAGATTGTTCTATGCCTATTAAACCAATTCATTTGGTAGTTAAAATCCATCTATAAAAGGAAATAACAGAACAATACGGTTTCATTGATGAAATCTGCCAAACATTTAAGGAAGAAGTAATACCAATTTTATATAATATCTTCCAGAAGACAAAAGAGAAAGGAACACTTCCCAACTCATTTTATGAGGTTAGAATTACTCTAATGCCAAAATCAGATAAAGACATTAAAAGAAAAAAGAGCTACAAATATCTCTCATAAACATAACTGTAAAAATCCTTAATAAAGTATCAACAAATTGGATCCAGCAATATTTAAGAAGGATAATAATATATCACAATTAAATGAGGTTCATTCCAGGAAGAGAAGGCCAGATCAATATTTATAAATCAATCAATGTGTAATACATCATATTAATAGACTAAGAAAAGCATATGATCGCATCAATATATACACAAAAAGCATTTGACAAAGTGCATTGCTCATTCAAGATTTTAAAACTCCAAAAATATTAAGAATATAAGGGAAATTTCTTAACCTAATAAGGATATATACAAGAAACCAATATGTAGCATCATATTTAATGTAAATGAATGAATGTTTTCCTAATAAAATTGAGAAAAAGATAAGGATGCCCTCCCACATCATTTCTCTTCACCATCATACTGGAAGTCCTAGGTACTGCTAGGAAATGAAATAAATAGTATACAGTTTGAAAAGGAAGGAACAAAACTGTCTTTATTCATGTATGATGTGGCTGTCTACATAGAAAATCCCAAAAGATCTACCAAACAAACAAAAGAAAAACTTCTGGAACAAATAAGAGAATTTAGCAAGGTCATAGGACACAAGATTAATATACAAAAGTCAATTACCTTCTTATATGCCAGTAATAAACAAATAGAATTGTAAATTTAATAAACTAAATACCTTTTGAAATAGCATCCCCCAAGATGAACTACTGAGATATAAATCAAACAAAATATATACAGCATCTGTATGCAGAGAACTAAAAAACAAAAACAAAAGAAATCAAAGATCTAAATCATGGAGAGAATGAAGAGACAACTATGGAATGGAAGAACATCCTGCATTTATAAACCATACATCTCATAAGGGGTTAATATTCAAAACGTATAAGAAACTCAAACAACTAAATAGCCTGGCCAACGTGGCAAAACCCCCTCTCTATGAAAAATATCCAAAAATTAGCCAGGCATGGTGGTACACGCTTGTAATTCCAGCTACTTTGCAAGCTGACTCACGAGAATCATTTGAAGCCTGGAGGTGGAGGTTGAAGTGAGCAGAGATCGTGCCACTGCACTCCAGCCTGGGCAACAGAGCGAGACTCTGTCTCAAAAGAAAAAAAAAAAAAAAAAAAAAATTTTTTTTTTTACATGGGATGGCAAAGTACAGAACAGCCAACAATATTGTGAAAAACAACCAAGTTGGAGGACTCACACTGCCCGATTTTAAGACTTACTATAAAACTACAGTAATCAAAGACAGTGTGGTCAAAAATACAGACACATAGATCAATGGAACAGAATGGAAGGCCCAGAAAGCTATCCACACAAATACAGTCAACTCATTTTTGACAAAGATGCTGGAACAGTTAGATGTTTATAGACAAAGAAAAAAATCCTTAACATAGGCCTTACAGCTTACATGAAAATTAATATGAAGTCAAAATAGATCATAGACTTAACATATAACACAAAACAATAAAACTGCTAGAAGAAAGCATAGGAGAAATCTACTTGACTTTGGATGTGCTGACTAGTTTTTAGATACAATACCAAAAACATAATTTTAAAAGATTGATAGTTGAACTTTATTAAACTTTAGCTCTATAAAAGGCACTGTTGGCCAGGTGTGGTGGTTTAGGCCTGCAATCCCAGCACTTTGGGAGGCTGAGTCATGCGCATAATCACTTGAGGTCAGGAGTTCGAGACCAGCCTGGCTAACATGGTGAAACCCCAACTCTACTAAAAAAACACAAAAATTAGCTGGGCGTGGTAGCACGTGCCTGTAGACCCAGCTACTTAGGAGGATGAGGCAGGAGAATCACTTGCACCCGGGAGGTGGAGGCTGCAGTGAGCTGAGATCCCACCATTGCCCTCCATTGGAGGCTGAGGTGGAAGGATTGCTTGAATTCAGGTGTTCAAGACCAGCCTGGACAACATAGCAAGACCCCGCCTCTAAAAAAAAATTAGCTGGGCATTGTAGAATACCTGTAGTCCCACCTATTCAGGAGACTGTGGTAGGAGGATTGTTGGAGCCCAAGAGTTTGAGGCTACAGTGAGCTATGATTATGCCACTGCATTCCAACCTGGGTGACAGAACAAGACCCTGTCACTAAAAAGAAAAAAAAAAAAGGATGAAAAGATAAGACACAGGATGGGAGTAAATATTTGCAAATCACATAGCTAATGAAAGATTGTATTAGTCAGGGCTTCTCAGAGAATCAGAACTTTTAATTCCAAAGGCCAGGGGCCTGAGGGGAGGGTACCAGCTATTATAGGACCCAGAGTTTGAAGACCTAAGAACCAGGAGAACTCTGATGTCGAAGAAGAAAAGAAGGATGCTCAGCTCAAGGAAAGAGAGAGAATTTGCACTCTCTCTGCCTTTCTGATCTATTCAGACCCTCAATGGATTAGATAATGTCCATCTACATTGCTGAGGGCAAAGTTCTTTACCTAGTGTACTGATTCAAATGCTAATCTCATCCGGAAACAATCTCACAGACACACCAAGAAATAGTTTTACCAGCTATCTGGGCATCCCTTGTGATAGCCCAGAGAAGTTGACACATAAAATTAACCATCCCAAAGATCATATCCAGAATATGCAAACAATGTCTAAAACTCAACAATAAGAAAGCAAACATCTACATTAAAAAATGGGCACAAGATATGAACAGACATCTCACCAAAGAATGTATACAAATGGCAAATAAGCATTTGAAGAAATGATCATTCGTCATTATAGAAATGCAAATTAAAACAACTACTACACACCTATAAAAATAGCTAAATTACAACCAACTGGCAATACCAGTGCTGATGAAGATGCAGAGCAACAGAAACTGTCACTCATTGCTAGTGGGAATGAAAAATGGTACTTTGGAAGTACGGTTTGGAAGTTTGGCAGTTTCTTATAAAGTTAAACATTGATTTACCATACAATCTAGAAATTATGTCCCTAGGTATTTACTCAACTGATAAGGAATCTTATGTCTACACAAAAACCTGCACACAATGTTTATAGCAGCTTTATTCATAATAAAGCCAGATGCAACTAAGATGTCCTTTAATAGGTGAATGGATAAACAAACAGTGGAACAGTCATACTATGGAACATTATTCGGAGATAAAAGGAACTGTTAATTCACACAACAATATGGATGAATCTTAAGTGCATATTGCTAAATGAAAGAAGCCAGTTTCCAAATGTTTTATATATATATATATGTGTGTGTGTGTGTGTGTGTGTGTGCGTGTGTATATACATATATACATATACGTATATATATATATGATAATTCCGTTTATATGATTTCTTTAAAAAAGCAAATGATAGAGATGGGAAATAGATCAGTGGTTGCCAGAGGACTGAGAAGAAGGAGACAGGTGGCTAAGTGAAGCACAGTGGATATTTTACAGCCATGAAACTATTCTGTGTGGTACTGTAGTGATTGATATATCTGCTAAGGGCTTGATATCTAGAACATATAAAGAGGTCCTACACTATCCATTTGTCACTATGCATTTGTCAAAACCATAGAATTTTACAGCACAAAAAGTAAACCTTGGCCGGGCGCGGTGGCTCACACCTGTAATCCCAGCACTTTGGGAGGCCGAGGCAAGTGGATCACCTGAGGTCGGGAGTTCGAGAGCAGCCTGACCAACATGGAGAAACCCCATCTCTACTAAAAATACAAAATTAGCTGGGTGTGGTGGTGCATGCCTGCAATCCCAGCTACTCGGGCGGCTGAGGAGGAGAATCGCTTGAACCCGGGAGGCGGAGGTTCCGGTGAGCCAAGATTGCGCCATTGCGCGACCTTGCAACAAGAGGGAAACTACATCTCAAAAAAAAAAAAAAAAAAAGTAAACCTTAATGTATGCCAATTTTTAAAAATCTACTAGGAGGATGGGGAATCACAGGATAAAATGCAGATGATGGCAACAGAATCTAATTGTATTACAAACGTACGAGGGATCTCATTGAAGGGCATGGAGACTAGAGGTGCTGACCTAAACAACTTTGGAAATGACTGGAAACAAGAAGACTCAAGATGAAAAGAGCTGTCCATAAGCACTGCCCTCCAGTTGGTAGAGCTGTGTCTCACAGGGGTATGGTTTGACAATTCTGAAACCCCAGTACATGTGTACTAACATTGAACAATTAAGTAAATGGATGGCAGATGGTAGGAGCCAGGTTTTTCACTGCTGAAGTGGGAGGTTATAGATAAGCAAAGGGAGAAGGATAGAATGAACTGTATGAATGTGTTAGAGTCAGAGACGGTAGCATGAGCTCATGTTTAACTTAATATAGATACCAATGATAGATACAGAATCATTACAGTTATGTGAATACACGGGCTAGGATACATACATGTATTTCCTAGCTCTGCCCCCTGGTAGTGGGTCCCCAATAGCAACATGCAAACCCACCATCCAGATCTGTTTCTAAGAACATTCTCCAGTGAAAGGAACCGGGCTCCCTGGAGAAACGGCTGATTCTAGGGCTGGGAAGAAAATATGCAAGATGAGTCTGGAGCAGCTTTAGTGCCAGAAAGTAAGGAAGGGCTCAAAAACATAACAAAAAATTATGGCAAAGGGAAACAGGAGCCAATAGAGAGAGCTCCCAGGCGCCAAAACTGGAACAATTTAAGCAACAATATAAATAACATAGTATTGGATTATAATGAAAAGTACAAAATAAATATCCATGAGTGCACACGGATAGAATAAATGACTGAATAAACCAGTAGCAGAAGAATTCCAAATAACTTATTACATACTGCCCCCTCAAGGAAGTGAAGCATAACTCCCCATCCCTTAAGTGGAGGCTGTGCATAGCGGCTATTCTGTGAGGCTATTCTCATTATTAGACTGGGGTTATTATTAGACTGGTTTGGGGGAGGAAAACCACAGAGGTACAGTGTCATTCTCAAAAAGTTATATCAAGAGAATATGCTATCAATATCAATATCACTTAATGTCAACCCTGATGGCCTAGTTAATTATTTGATCAGTCTTCTGTTGAAATTATTGTTGTTGTTAATTATTATTGTTGTTAATTATTTGATCAGTCTTCTGTTGATGAGCCTTGAGGCTTGAGGTAACGTCTGTCAGGTAATGGCAAAGGTAATGTTTATATCCAAAGGTAATGTTATCACCATAATGCTAACTATAACATTATAAATATATTTTTAAATGGCCACAATACCTCAGGGCCCTTGCATCATACTCTGCCGTGTGACTTTGCTGCTCCTCCCTGGGAGAAGTGATTTCTATTTCCCCACCTCTTGAATCTGGGCTGGCTTGTGACATGTTTGCACCAACAGAATGTAATGGATGTAAATTCACACCAGTTATACAGTCTCAGGAGGCACTGCATGTTATCAGATGTTGACGGACACATAGCCTGAACACCCCTCTAACCCTAGCTGATAGCCAGTCAACTACCAGACATGTGATTTAGACCATCCTAAATAAACCAGCCCCAGCTGACCCACCCTTTCTGATCCCAGACACAAGGAGCAAATGCAAAGTTAGCTGAGCTTGGCCCAGATCAGCAGTGCTACCCAGCTGACCCACATGAGCAATACCAAAAGCTTTCTATTTAAAGCCACTGAATTTCGGAGTGGTTTGTTATACCGCAATAGCTATGTGCCTCACTGGCACCTAGGCATAACAATGCATGTAGGTGCTTATTTGTTGTAACACACTGTGATTACAGAAGATTAGAAGCAGCCTCAAGGCTCATCAATAGAACACTGATCAAATAATTACAGGAGAGCCAAACAATGGAATATTATGCAGCTGTTCAAAAGAACGAGGCAGCCCTATGTGAATCAACATGGAACAAACTCCATGATGCATTTTTAAGCGAAGCAGCAAGAGGCAGAAGAGTATACAGAGCAAGCTACTATTGATCCTGTAAAATACTTGCATTTGCATGGACTGTCTCCGGGTGGGTACACAGAAACATGTAACAATGGCTGTCTCTAGGAAGGGGAACTGGGTGCCTGGGGAACAAGAGTGGAAGCGAGACTTCCTTTTCACGCTATCCTCTTTTTTATCTTTTGAATCGTGTAAATGTGTTATCCATTCAAAAATAAATAAAACCAGAATGTAAAAACTCCTATGCCTTTCAAATGCAGAGAGCCTTATTATTCTCTTTCCAAGACTCCCAAGATCCACCGGGACCAAAAAACAGCAGTCAGGGAACAATTCCGATTTTCCCTCCTCTCTCCCCCACAGCCCCCACCCGCGCAGAGCGAAGCTGGCTTCTCCGGTAAACCCCTGCTTGTGAGTTGCGCCCAGGCGACACTACCTCGCCTGCCACCGGAGGGCAGCGCGAGGCTTCCTTCCCGGGGAGGAACTGCGGCGAGACGGTGGTCGGCCCTGAATAGCAAGCTGGCTCCTAGATCAAAGGCTCTGGCATTCCGTTTTTGCGTGCATGTTTGTTTGTTTTCTTTCTTTCTTCTTCCTCTTCTTTATTTTTTTAAAGGTCTCGACCCAAGAACCCCATTCCAGGCAGTAGGTTCGCCAGCCATTGCTTGTGCGTCTTCGCGGAGAGAGAGGGGGGAGATGCCCCGGCGCTCCTTACCCGGCTGGATAAGACCCTTTGGGGAACTTGCTGCTTCGCAAGTCTTACTTGTGAGGACCCGGAGGGTTTGCCTTTGACCCCGCCTGTGACCTTAAGAAAACCCCTTTCTACCCTGCGCCTGTCCCACAGCTGGAAGTGATAATTTTAAGAATGAATTAAGCACTCGGTGTGTGACACTGCGGCACTAAGCACTTTCTGGACTGTGTTAGGCCCCATTTTACAGACGGGGAAGCTGAGGCCTCCAGAGGCGGAGTAACCTGCTCATGGTTACAAAGCTGGTCAGCGGCGGGCAGGATTTGAATCCAGGGTTCCCGGTTCCTAATCCTCTGCTTTTACCACTTAATTTATCCTGCCTCCAAGGGCTGCTGGGAAAAAGGCGGATTTCAAAGGAGAAGCAGCTAAGGAAAAGCTCTGGAAAGGGCCAACGGAGCGGATATTCCCGGAGCCCCTCTGCGAGCCACGCGCCCCTCTGGGAAGCCCGCTTCCCCCTGCAGACAGGCGCTGTGACACGCTTGCGCCCCGGTCGAACAGGCGAAGAGGCCGAGGCCCAGAGCGGCGCAGGGCGAGCCTGGAGGCTGCGCCCCAGACCTGGACCAGCCACGGACGCCGCTCCCGCCGCTCCCTCCGCTCCGCTGCGCTCCGCACGCTGGCGCCGGCTCCCCGAGGCCCCGGGCGCCCCGGCCGCACGCCTGGGTAAAAGGTCCCGAGGAGTCCGCAGAAGCGCGCCCACGCCCGAGACGGCCGTTTCCGCCGGCCTGGGAAAGGGGCGGAGAAGGGGGTCGCCCGGGCCGCAGCGTGCCGGTCCCCGCCGGCCGAGCCGTGTTTGGGGCCAGTCCCCGCACCCCGCTTCTTCCCCACCTGGGGAGCGGGGCGCCGCGGTAGGGGCACTGGAGCGCACGATGCACCCCGCCAACGAGTCCTTTCTGCAGACGGGGTTCCTGTTTTCATGCAAATGCCTTTGTTAGCGCACCGGGAACCAGGGGGACGGAACTGCAGCTGACGCGGGCTGCGCGCCGCTTTTCCGCCTTCGCTTGATTCGGCCTCAACGACTTAAACGCGCCGGGAACAAAAACGCCGGCGCCGCGGAAACCCTCAGGAGCGGCACGAGAAGCGCGGCTCCGCTGGGGTCCGCGAGAAGCGGTGCGGGCGGCCGGGCTGGTGCCTGCAGGCCCTCTCACCGCATCACCAAGGGCAAGGAACCTCCAACTGTCCCTCAGTTTCTCTACCTGCACTGGGATGTCCTACATAAGGAGTCAGCTCAGTGCCCGCATCTTGCTGTAATTATTTTGTCCAAGCACTGTGGGAGGCAGCGTTGAGGAGGCTGTTGTGGGGAGTTTGCCTGTCAGAGAGAAGAGGGAAATAAACAAGAAACATACAGACAAAATAATTTCAAATAGCAACAAGTGTTAATATCGTAGCAAACACCAATGCAGCGCTTATGCCAGGCTCTGCTCTATGCTATATGCACATTAGGTCATGTAATCCTCACTCCCTTGTACAGATAGGAAAATGCTGGTTGAATAATCTATTGAAGGGAAATAGGAAGTTGAACAATATGTGGAGAAACAGGTTGCACGATAGGTGGAGAAACAACAGGTTGCACGATATGTGGGGAACCAGGTTGAACAATAGCCTCAAGTGCGCAGTAGGTAGGCTCGGCACTTGAGAATATTGGGCCCAGCCTGGGTTTCGACCCAGCCAGTCCAGCCCCAAGTGGAAGCTTTTGCACACTCCATTACACCAGTTTTGGCTGTACTAGGAAGGATGTAAAGTGGTGACACGCCCAAGAGAGAGCTGGGGCTAGACAGGAGCTGCTCCTAAAAGGATGTCAATGGACGTCTCTGTGCAAGAGAGTAAGCTGAGGCCTGCACAGTGAGAGGAACTAGCCATGCAAAGAGCTGGGCGTGTCCAGCAGAGAAAACAGCAAGGGCAAAGGCCTTGAGGTGGGAGAGTAGATGTGGGGTTTCATGAACATAAGGATGGAACTCAGTGAGCAGTAGTAAGGAGACTGGAGATGGTCAGCAGCTGGGGGTAGCAGGCTTTGCAGGTCTCGGCAAGGAGCTGGACTTTTATTCTAGGTGTGATGGGAAGTTGTGTTGTTATGGCCACTGAAGGAGTTGCGTGGATGGAGTTGGACCAGAGGGTGGGTGCCCTTCCTGCCTTGCCAGCCTTAGGTTCAAGGAGGAAGTTGATTGCTTAGGCCTTAAGCTTGCCCCTCCTCATCTGACCTCCTGGCTTCTAGGACATTCCTGAGGACGTACACCAAGTCTCCAACATTACCTGATGTCAGATCAGGTAAGCCCTCATCTTATAGATAGGGCTAAGACTGAGGCCCTGACTTCAGGGATGTGTCTTCACCTTTGAGTAGGAGAAGCAGGGGTGGTATCTGCTTCATCTACTCATGTACCTGCAGCACCTAGCACAGGCTGACCAGCCCATCCTTGGACCCAGGCAAGCGGGGCTCTGCCCTGGCCAGCCTCCAGCTGCGTACATCCCCACAGGCTAGAGAGTCTGCAGTGCCAAGGGGATATACCCATCCAAGTCTTTGCTCCTTGTCTAGAATACTACAGATTCCTAGGATTCCTGAGCTCCCTACCTAAAAGTCCCAAGCCTGCTGCCAGGCCTCTTCCTGGTCTATTGTCTGGAGGCAGAACACTAAGCCCAGGGTGTAGCCAAGGGGCACTGCAGAGGATAGGGTGTGGATGGAGATTGGACCTGCAGCCTGGGATGTCTACACACATGCAGGTGAGGTGTGCACGGTACAGGATGGAGCTGGGGATGAGAAGGGAAGGTGGCAGTTTATAGGCTGGGAAATGAGCGACCAGGGAATGGGGCTGGCTCTCCCCAGCACCGCCACATTTCAGTGCGAGTATCTAAGAAATCCAAATCAATCCTGGCCTTTCAGGCTGCTGAGAAGTTATACTTACTGAGGAGAAGGATAGAACATTTAAGAGAAGGTATTGGTCTGATTTATAATTTTTAAATATTTAGATTTAAGGGTGAGTGGACACCAGCCTCCACCAATATCAAGAGTGTGTTTGGCCTAGACCCTAGGAGATATTCAATATTTATCAAATAGATGGATGAATCTCATTTAATTTAATCCTCACACAGACTCAACGGAGGGAAATCACATCGTCTGTGCTTTATTGATGAGGGAACTAAGGCTTGGAGAGATTTAATGACTGGCCTATTTGTCAAGTTAGAAGTTTGTCTAGCAGAGCTGAGAGCCTCAAGCCCTAACGTGTCTGATTCCAAAATCCATTGCAATTGGTTCATGACAAGTTCACTCCCATTATGACCACATTAAATATATTATAACTGTTTGAGCATGTCACTCGCTGATCTTTGGGAACATAAGCACTGTTTATATTACATGAAAAAGGCCTTCTCTTCTTCATTCTTACTCTACCCTCTCAGGCACCTTTGGGAAGTAGTAAGACAGGAGCTAATGCTCCATTTAACAAATGGAAAACTGAGGACTGAGCAATAGCCCAAGGTGTCAACGAGGCTTAAACAAATAGGGATTTTTTTTTTTTTTTTCATGTAGCAAGAAATCCGGAGGTAGCTGGGCAAGGGCTGGTATAATTTTTGCATTATTTTCAGCAAACAACTTCTGCCTCTTGGTCTCTTCTGGCTATTTATTGCTACAGCATAACAAACTGCCCCCAAACAACAACCATTGTATCGTCTACAGTTTTGTGAGTCAGAAATTTGCGCAGGGCTCAGCTGGGTGATCCTTCAGTGATCCATGGAGCGCCGACTAGAGTCACTCAGTGATCTTCAGCTGCTGATTGTGCTATGCTGGAGGATCGAGATGGTTTCACTCAGGTTCCTGGTGCTTTCGTGGGGATGGCTGGAACACTGAGCTCAGCTGGGTCCGTCTGCCTCTCCATGGAATCCCAGGGCTTCTCCAGGTGGGTGTCTCCAGCAGAGTAGTTTGACCTTTTTCATGGCAGCTCATGGCTCCCAGAGGCCATAGCAGAAACTGCCAGTCCTCCTAGAGGTTAGGCCTGGAGTGGGCGTGACATCATTTCCACCATACTCTATTGGTCAAAGAAGTCACAGGTCAGCCCAGATTTAAGTACAGGGGAAATTGACTCCTCTCAAAGGGAGGAGGATCAAAGAATCCACAGCCATCTTTAAATTATCACATGGTCCGAGCTGCTTGAGATGTAGTCATCATGTCTCAAATTCCAGAAAGTGTGGAGGACTGGTGGAGGAAGGTGTTTACCTTCCCTTTTAAGACATTTTCTGGAAGTCACACACAACATTTTCCATTGGCCAGAACTTACATGGGCATACCTAGGATATGGAAGGGAAACTGGAAACTGTAATCTTTATTGCAGGAGGCAAGCCATGTATTCTGATGAAAATTAGGGATTTTGTTGACTAAGGAAGAAGGGGAGCATGGGTATTGAGGACCAACTAAAATCTATTCCATGGTTAGGTGTTTTGTTGTTGTTGTTGTTGTTTTTGCTACCAACAGCCAAACACTGTTCCTAGCAGAGATGTTTCTATACCAGTCTTCTCCTTCCTAACACATCTTCCACTCTGTCATCAAAATAATCTTTCCTTTTTTATTATTTGTTATGTTCCTATACCGTATATCTTTTAATCATTCCTATGCCAACAGCAAGTGTCCGAATTATTTTGTGTTGTGTGAAACAGTAATGGGGTTTGCCACACACCAGGCACTGTGCCAAGCACTAAATGAACATATCTCACTTGATCTCCGCAGTATCCCACTGAGTGAGGATCACAGACGAGGAAGCAGAAACCCAGAGAGGTTAAATGACTTGCTCCGGGCCACACAGAGAGTAGGTGCAAGGCTGAGATTCAAACCCTCGACTGTCAGATTCCAGAGCTGTGCTGTGAAACCCACACATGTGAAGCTCAGGGACTGTTTATGGATGACAGCCCCGGAGCATGGGCAAGACTTGTGCCTGGTGTGTGAAGGTTACAGGTGACAAATGTGAGCCAAGAGCCTGCAGATGCTCCCTTCCCGCTGTGATCCTTCAGTAGGGAAGACTGCATCAAGCCCCAGGGCCATGCTGGCATATTTCATGAAATTAAACTGGCACCAGGAATTCATATCATTCTATTTCCTTTACACCCTGACTGAACCCCAAGTCTGGAGGAGACTTTGCAGAACTGGCTACATTGCTAAGCAGGGCACAGGCCCAGTTAAATGAGGCACCTTTCTGCTCCAGCTCCAAGCTTCTCTGTTCTGACCCCGGTCTTTCTTGCCTTTGCCTCACCCCTGTTCGAGGACATGCAGTGACTCCCTGTTCCCCTCAAGTTCAGTTTTGCCTTTCTCCAAATGCTCCTTGTAAGGACTGGGGAGAATACGGTTCCATCCTTTCGGTGAATTTCAGTTTCTGCATCTGTCAAATGGGAGGAAATAATCCCTGCTTTGCTAAGTAATTGAAATGTTGAGGACCACACAGGACAAGGAATAGGAATGGCCTTTGCAGGGCAGAGCAGGCGAGGGGCACAATCCCACTGGATCTGAGTAGTATTTAGAAGACTAGGCATTATCTCCTCGGAAGGCAGAAAGATCTGGGGTAGGGAGTGGGGTTGTGGAGGATCAGGGAGTGCCCTGCACCTTCTTGTGGGGGCTCCTGCCCACAGTCTTGCAGAGGAAGTGGCCCAGGGTGAGCATTTACATATTCTATATGCCCCGCTGGGGGGACACAGTGAGACCACCGGTTCTGAAACCAGATAAACCTGTGTTTGAGTGTCCCAGCTTCATCTCGTACTAGCTGAAGGACCTTTGGATAAGTCATATCACTTCTGCCTCCAGTTTCACAGCTATAAGTTGGGGCTGAAAAAAGAACCTGTCTCATTGGGATTTTATAAGGAATCAAATGAGAATGTGCGCCTTTAAAGCACCTCATTTAGCACAGAAGAACTGTTCAACCAATAGTCATGGTAAGAGTGACTGGTGTTTTTTGAGCCCTGATTAAATTATATGCCATAAGAGTCTTCTTGATTAGTTTATATACTCCTCACCACAATGCTAAGATGTAGTTAACATTATTATTTCCCACTTGTAGATGTAGAGATGGGGATGCAGTTAGGCTGAACGAGCTGCCCAAGGTCATAGTAAGTGGTAGAAGCTGGGCTTGAACCGGAACCCAGTCTGTCTGATGCAGTCTTCCTTAATCAATAGCCATGCTGTTACTATTACTGTTGACATTACTATTATTGACCTTGAATTCTTTACCCAATATCTCCACACTTCCACAACACCTGGTGGGGGCAGGAAGAGCCACCTGACCCAAAGACTGCCAAAATATAGGCTGAGCAGCCTGTGATACAGCCTGGGACAGAAGCTCCACCCAGCAGGGCTGAGCCCAATTAACTAAACTCATCAGCAGTGATGGTGGCTGCCAGTTTGAATTGGACCACAAAGAGTTGGGATGATGCCTACAAGCTGAAAGACCCTAAAAGATGACATAATTCAAACAAATGTGAAGGCACAGGGGCAATGAGTAAGCCAAACTTCCAAGACAGACAAGGGGGAGGAGAAATTTGACAAACGTCTGCTCCTGAGATGACTATGAACTGACTCAGTCCCAGAGCACTGGGTCCTGAATGATGTTCCAGTGGCTAAGTTGTATTCTGTGATGTGTGGTCAAAATTCCTGCCTTCCAGTCCCTGCATGTAGCTTTACAACAACCCCCATGGCTCAAGTTAGGAGAGAGGCTCTGCTCTTTTCAACCAAAATTAGGCTAGCTCAGCTCTCCCGTTTATCTTTAGGGTAAATGCTAAGATTTGGAAGTGGTGAATGGAGAGGGAGGTAGGATCAGGACATCCCTCCATCAATCCCAGGTGACGAGGCCCAGAAGACATGGCCTGGCCCAGTTCCTGTTATATCAGAACCTTAGTCCATGTCTCACCATCTACAATCATATCCTAAGTGATCTCACTCACCATCTGGGGTGACTCCGGGCCAGGCGTCTCCCCTGCACTCCAGCCTCATGCCCAGCTACTAACTCCACAGCTCCGTCCGTGTTACACAGGCATGTCAAATCTCACCTGTCCAAAATGGAACTCCTGATTGTGCCTCCAAAACCCACCCCTTCTGCAGGATTTTCATATCAGGAAATGCCAACTCTATAATTCGAGCTGCTTAGGTCAAATACCTTGGAGTCAGCCCTGGCTGTCCTGAGTCATATTCCAACATTCTTGCAGTCCACAAATTCTATTGGCTCTTCCTTCTAAACGTATCCGTGCCCTCCATGATCACCCTAGTCTGACCCACTATCGTCTGTCACCTGGGGTGACACAACAGCCTCCTCTTGCCTCTGGCCTGCCTTCTACAACTTGTTCTGAACTCAGCAGCCAGAGATGTCCTGTTAAAACCTAGGCTGGAGCTTGTAGTCCTCTTGCTCAAAACCCACCCATCACTGCCCTTCTCACTCAGAGGAAAAACAAAGGCCTCCTAAGTCACACAGTCTGACCTCCTCAGTTTCCCCTACAGACCTGCCTCCCTGACCTCACCTCCCAGAGCTCTCCCCAGCCCTTCCTCTATTCCAGCCACTCAAGGTGATCACCACTCCTGGAAGGAGAACTCCCACCCATGGGCCTTTGCATCTGCTGTGCCCTCTGCCTGGGGTGCCCCTCCAGCACGGCTCCCTATCTCACTTGTGTGGGTCTGCAGAGATGCCTTCCCTGGGTACCTCATTAAAAATTACCACCCACTCCAGCAGTCCCTCCCCCGTCTCCTTCCCTGCTTTAACTTTCTCTGTAGCATTTAACACCATCTATTGACACGCGGTAGATTTTACTTACTGTTTCGTGTCATCTCCCACACTGGGATGTTAGCTACGTCTAGGGAAGGACCTTCTTCCATCAGGTGTATCCCCCTTGCCTAGAACACAGCGTCTGATGCATAGTAGGTGCTCAGCAAATCCTTGTCAAATGAACAAAGAAGCACACATAAGAGGACTTCCTGGAGGCACCCCTACCCAGTTCTCACGCCCCCAGCAGCCACCCTCTGGGTGTTCCAGGCCCTAGGCTAGTCCCCTCACTTCTTTGATCCTATTCAGGGGAAATCGGCCTCAGGCCCTGTCCGAAAACAGGAGAACTAAGGAGAAGCTAGTCATGGAGGAATTAGTCCAAATAGGTGGGGATTTCTTTTTAATTAGAACTATTTTTTTTTTTCCCTTCACACAAAAGGACTTGTGTCCCAGTAGCTGGCTCTCCTGTCAAAGCTTGTCCCGGGCTGAGAGCTGGAGCTCTGTGTTCCCACCAAGGATCTACTGTCAGAATCACTGGAGAGCAGCGTGGGCTTTACAGAAGGAAGGTTCTGGGGCAGCAGGGGCACGTGGCCTCCCTGGGACAGGCACACACCTGGAAACCCCACAAATGGGAAGGACTCCATGTGGGTGACAGGTGAGGCTGGTAACAAGCGTGTAGGGTCACTGTACTGTTCTCTCCACTTCCTGTAGTTTGAGAATTTTCTTTAGAGAGAGAAAAAAAAAAAAGAGTGTTTTTCCCCTGAAGTTCTCTTTTCCCGACACATGCCCAGAGGATTTCCTGTAGCCCTCCCTCCCCACCATACCCCACCCACAACTTCTCTTTTCTCCTCCCCTCTGATTCGAGGAGAGAGCCATTCTGCTCTGCTTACTAGCTGCCTGTCTGCATCTGGGGACACTTACAAACCTTTGATGCCTGTTTACTCCCCTACTCGCCAAGATTTGGGTCCAGATGGCCTGGTGAGGTGGTGCTGGGCACTGATGGTTGCTAAATGCTCCCTGGGTGATCCTGGCACTTTCTAGAGTTGAGCAACTACCTTGTTACCCCAGACCCAGCCCTGACTCTGCCACACTCAGGGATCTCCTGTTAATAGGGTCCAGCCTCCTTAGAAGACAGTTTAACAACATATTTTGTTACCTGAGCCCATCTTTGGGGTCCACCATAGCTGCCTAAGTGACTTGAGGAGATATTTCTTCCAAACCCAGACAAAGAGCCTCATTCACCACCAGCACTCCTGGTGGATGACATCCTCCCTGTTACCTTATGCGACACGGGTTCCCTGTGACCATTTGGAAAGTGCAGAGAAGCACACAGGAGCTGGCCACAGCCCACTTCAAGCCCAGGAATTTGTGAACAGAAAGGAGCCATTGTCTCCAGTCACTTGAAGGGAACAGCTCAAAAACACATTCAAAGGGCCCTGATGATAATGAATATGCTAATATGATTTCCACTGGGCGCCTGTGCTACCTCCAAAAAACCCTTTCTGACCTTCCTCATGGATTCAAAGCTTTCATTGAAGTCGACAGGGGATTTTGGTTAAAATAACATGAAAGTTTTCATTTAAATGGACAAAGCTGGGAGTTGTGAATTAAGCATGAGTTTCACATTGGTCCTGACACCCCTGACCTTGATGGGGAAATGCATAGATTGTGACTGGACCTTCTGGACCTTCTAGCTATTGCCTTTGGGTGGGCAGAGCTAGCAAGCATTAAGGGTCCCTTTTGCATGACAAGTGAACTCTGGAGACCTAGGTTTAAATCCCAGCTCTGACACTTACTAGCTGGGTGACCTTGAGAAAGGCAAATCATTTCTCTGATTGAGCCTCAATTTCCCCATCTGTAAAATGGTTTGGATAATACTTCCCTTGCAGCATTGCTTCCAAGAGTGAATAAGAAGTCTGTATGTGGGAGGGGTTGGGGAAGTGGAAAACATCTTGGAGCTCCCCACCGTCTCACCCAGTCAGAGACCCAGCAAGGGTGTGAACACCTCCAGCCTCCCATATCCCAGACCTTCTTTCCTTCATTCAGCGTATATTTATAAAGCATTTCCTGGGTGCCAGGTACTGTTTTGGGGCTGGGGATTCAGCTGTGAACAGAACAGATGAACTCTGCCCTCAGTGGAGCTGCCATTGTAGTGGGAAGGACAGACATTAAACACATGAATAGATAAATAATAAGTAAGTGGGCTGGGCGTGGTGGCTCACGCCTGTAATCCTGACACTTCGGGAGGCCGAGGGGTGGGGGGGGGGGTGTTGGATCACCTGAGGTCAGGAGTTCGAGACCAGCCTAACCAACATGGTGAAACCCCATCTCTACTAAAAATACAAGGGCGTGGTGGCACATGCCTGTAATCCCAGCTACTCGGGAGGCTGAGGCATGATAATCACTTGAACCTGGGAGGCGGAGGTTGCAGTGAGCCGAGATCATGCCACTGCACTCCAGCCTGGGCAACAGAGCAAGACTTCGTCTCAAAAATAATAATAATAATATGTAAGTGGTAATAAGTTCTTTGGAGAAGAAAAACAAAGTCCTTAATGAAAAGAGCAGAGCTTTAGAATTAGACAGAGCTGAATTCAAATCTCAGCTTGCTCTTTGCTGGCTGTGTAATGCCTGGGAAAGAGATTTTATCTCCCTAACACTCTTCTGCACATTTTTTAATGAGACCCACTGATGAATCACCCACCCATTGAACAAATATTTATAGAACTCTGGGCCAGGCACGGTGGCTCATGCCTGTAATCCCAGCACTTCAGGAGGCCGATGCAGGCGGGTCACTGAGGTCAGGAGTTGGATACCAGCCCGGCCAATATGATGAAATCACATCTCTACTAAAAATACCCCCCCAAAAAAGAAAAAAAAATAGCTGGACATGGTGGCGTGCACTTGTAATCCCAGCTATTCCAGAGGCTGTGACAGGAGAATCGCTTGAACCCAGGAGACAGAGGTTATAGTGAGCCAAGATCGTGCCACTGCACTTCAGCCTGGGCAAGTGAGCCAGACTCCATCTCAAAAAAGAAAAAAGAACTCTGTCCTGTGTCAAGCATTGTTTTGAGTGCTGGGGAGGCCACAGTGAATGAAACAAAAATCCTTGCCCTTGGGAGCTTAAAATCTAAAAGGGAGAAATAGACAATTAACAAATATACGTATATCAGGTGATGAAAGAAAAAGCAAGGGAAGGAGGTCAAGAATGTGGAGGACATTATTTCAGGGAGTGGTGGTCAGGGAAGGCCTCTCTGGGGAGCTGACATTTAAGTGGAGCTTTGAAAGATGTAGGGGAGTTAGCCATGTGGGTGTCTGAAGGAAGAACCTTCCCAGTCGGAGGAGACATCAAGGGCAAAGGCCCTGAGGTAGGGCCATGCGTGGCTGTTGGGAGGATTAGGGAATTGGAGGCAATGTCTAAGACACACCCAGCACAGCCCCTGGCTCTGAGTGGGGGTTCAATCAATAGCAGTTATTATTTGTACTCATTTTATGAAAAATGCAAGAGAAGTCATTTTCCATTATTATAAAAGTTCTTGAAGGCTTTGTGGATTGATGACTTTATTCCCTTTTCTTCTTTTGTTTTTCTGAATCAGAACCAGCAAGTCCAACCCCCAAGCCCACCTGCCAGCCCGCCTCTGTGCCCCCAGTCCCAATCCGGCAGGAATGTTTGACATGCAGTGGTGCTGGAGGGAGGGAGTGTGTAATTAATGATGGTTATTAAATAATAATGCCAGCATCTTGAAGTTCTTTCCTCTCCACAGCCTCACAAATTAGACGCCTTCGAAATGTTGTGCCCGTCGCCAAGATGCACCTCCATCTGGGGTGGAAGCAACATCTGCTAAACAGCTGCATCTTGTTTAAGAGCTGGTACTTAATTCAATTATTCAGCTCTGATAGGGGCAGGCAGAGCTGAGCGGAAGGGGCAGGCCCAGTCATGGGCATATGCTGCTCCACGTCTTCCCAAGTTGACCCAAACTCCTCTCCCACAGCGTCCCCACTCGCATCTGTTGATTCAACCAACCTAGACATCTGTACATTTCCAGAACCGGCCATGCTCACTCATGCTGCCTCCTTGCTTTTTACTCAAGCTGTGTGCCCCTGCCAGGAACACTCTTCTGCTGCCTGTCCAACTCCCGTGTCCTTCGAAAGGCCCAACTCAAACATCAGTATCTCCTCCAGGACAGAGCATAGGGAATTACCTCCCATGAGCTCTCTCGGTGCTTCATGCATTCCTTAACTGGAGCATTCATAACATTACATTGCAATTTTGTGTACCCTGCTGTTTTGTAAGCCCCTTAGGCTGGGAACCATGTGTATTTCATTCTTGTTATCTCAGCATTGTACCTGACTCCCCATAGACACACCCAGCACAGCCCCTGGCTCTGAGTGTTTAGTTAATGGATGGATGGATGGGTGGGTGGGTGGATGGATGGATGGATGGATGGGTGGGTGGGTGGATGGGAGGGTGGATGGATGGATGGATGGATGGATGGATGGATGGATGGATGCATGCATGGATGGATGGGTGGGTGGATGAATGGGTGGATGGGTTGGTGGGTGGATGGATGGGTGGGTGGATGGATGGGTGGGTGGATGGATGGGTGGATGGATGAATGGATGGATGAAGAGATAGAAGAATGGAAGAAAGGAGGGAAGAACAAAGCGGTAGACAAACAGATGGACCCACTGCCACCATCTAAATCCAAACAACCATCATTTCTCACTGAAACACTGGGGTCTCTCACTGGTCTTTCAGTTTCTACTCTTGCCCCCAGTAGTCTCTTCTACTCAAAGCACTTAGTAATCTTTTGAATATGGATTTATATCATGTCACTCCCCTGTTAAAAACCTTCCAGTGGCTTCCATATTCCTAACCCTGACCTCCAAACCCCTATAGGAAACAGCCCCTGCTTATCCCTCTGATATCATCTCCTCTCTGTCCTATGCTCTGAATACTTGGGGAACCTGCCAAGCTCTCTCTCACCTCAGGACCTTTGAATCTGCTCTTCCCCTTTGCCTGGGACTCACTTCCCTGGATTTCTGTCAAGCTAGTATCTTCTTAAGTCTTCCAGTCTAGCTCTAATGCCACATCCTCAAAGAGACACTTCTTTACTTTGCCAGTTAAAATAGCCACCATTGTGGTCCTTAAAGGCCAAGGGGCCTGATCCAAATACCAATGCTTTGGCTGCTGAAACCCAACAGGCTTCCCAGAGCATCATCCTCAGCTGGGGTCGTGACGCAGACCTCCCCCAAGTGCCTGCCCTACAAGCCATCCCTTCCCTGGGTGCTCACTCCTCCTCTCCATCAACTAAAGATCCTTCATGAATGGGCTTGTCTGGAACTGCCGCAATTAAACTATCAGAGCAACATTGGACCATTTGTTTACTATGGCACTTAGAGCTGGAATGGCTTGTTGTTTTGACTGTTTCTATTTTCAGCTCCATTTCCTAGGGGTAGTGGGGAGAGGGTAGGCAATGAATCCTGGTCTGTTCAAGCAAAAAGATGCATCAGTGAAGCCTAGAATTTCAGAGTCACAGAATTCTAGCATCATTGTCATGGAATATGAGAGCAGTGAAAATCTATAATTTTGGTTATAGGTTCCTAGATTCACGAGATTCTAGAATCTTACTCAATGAAATTAGAATCTTAAAGTCAGACAAATTTAGACTCAAAGTCCTAGAGTGATGGGCTCTGAGGAGACTGTCACTTTGTCTACTCCATATCTCTTTCCCAGAAGATCTTCTCTGGGTACCTTATCCACAACGTTCCCCCCTACCGACCCACAGCCTGTCACTCTCTATTGTTTTAATTTTTCTTTATGGCTCTGATCACCACCTGACATTTGATCTGTTTCTCTGTTCATTTGCTTATTGCCTGTCTCCCTCACATGTGAGATTGAGGTCAGGAACTTTGTTTTGTTCAACGTTTAGAACAATGCCTGGCATGTTCTAAACAGTACTCAGAACAATGCCTGGCATGAAGTAAGGGCTAAAAAAAGCAGTGCCCATTCATCCAAAAAATATTTATTGCATCCCCACTTCATATTGGTGCCTCAGAGATGATCTTCTCTCAGGACAGGAAGCAGGTCTCACTTTGCATGCCAAATGCAATTGGCAGTAGATACCCAGAGCACGGTGTTGAAAAGACTTCTTGGGGCTTATCCAAGCTCCGTGGGGAAGGGCAATTGATGAGCAATGTCTGGCATAGACTCAGCCATGGGAAAAAGTGGCCATCTCTGCTCTGGCCTCCAACCCTGCACTGAAAAAAACTGAGGTCCAGAAGAAGATGCACTGGGCATGCATGGGGTGCATAGCCAGAGTTAGAACCCCATCTTCAGTCTCCCCTCAGTGTTGGTTCCTGAGCCCAAGCCTCTCACAAGCACCTGTGTGTGCCCTCCCCTCCCCATCAGCCCTTAGGCTCTCCCTCCCCCGAGGCCTTCCTGGGATGAAGGGGCTGCTGGAGTCCCTGGCCCTGAACCACAGCCTGGGAACCCAATTCTGGAACACCGCCTGAATGCGCAAGCCAGTTATTTTTAAAAATCCAAAAAGAAAAGGAAGAAAGAGAAAGCTCACTGCTTCGGTCTCCGCACTAGCCCTGGCTCAGAGAATAGAGACTTGAAAGGAACAAAGGGTTTCCTCAAACACAGCAGATCAAGGCCTTGGCTTATGTGGTAACCGGTAACCGACCACCGCGCTTTGTGACAAATCCTTCAGAAGGCAACGGCCTCTGTTCCCTCTGCAGCCTTGGCAGAAGGAGGTGGGGGAGCAGGGGACACCCTTCCCCATCGCCCCCCAGCCCCAGTCGGGCTGCTTACAATCATGGACTTCGAGAACCCCTGACTGTTAGGACCTCAAAGGCCTTCACAGAGCATGGAATCCAACCCGCTCTGGGTCAGCCAGGCAGGCAGAAGCCCTGGACAGGCTCAAGGTCACACTTTCCTCCTCCCTGGGTTCTCTTTGAAGGAGGTGGAGACCAGGGAAGTGCACCCAAGCCTCCATTTCCTCTTGAACCCATCACAGCTGCCTGAGATGCCCTCTCAGAACTCTCCCAGCTACCAAGATTCCTACTTCTTTTTTTCCTCCTGTGGATTTCTTCTTCCAAGGTGCCTGTGGGGTGTGGTTTGACCCCTGGAGACCTGGGGGTCTCCAGGTACACAGCAGGAGTACACAGAGGGGTACACAGGAGGGGTCTGCTGGTGGATTATGAGATCACAGAAGGACTACAGTCCACCCTACACTCCAGGTTGGACAATAGCAGCTGACTCAGGTGCTGTGCCAAGCCCTTTGCAGTGAGGCCTCCTGTAGGCACCGTGGCGATCCTATGATGTAGATAGGCATTGTTAGCCCCATTTTCCAGACAAGAAAGCCAAGGCTCCAAAAGACTGAGTAAGGGCCCCAAGGGGGTTGGCAGGGATTGGCAGAGCTGATGCTTGAACTCGGGGTTGCCTGTCTTCTAAACCACACTCTGTTAACTGGTCTGCTCTGCCCCACCCTCTGTGCATCAAAGGCAGGCAATGCTTCACCCCACTCTCAGGCACTGAGGAAGGCAGCAGAGGGGCCGGGCTGGGAACAAGGGGCTTCCCTCCATTGGAGGCCATTGTGCTCACAAGCCACACACTCGCACCTGCACGCAGGCTGCAGAGCCCATCAGGTCTCCTCATCCACCCCTCCATGTCAGCCTCTCTCCCCTGCCTCCTTCCTGACTTGCAATTTCTCTGGCTCTTTTCTACCCCATCTGTCAATCTGCATCGTCTCCATTCTGTGGGCCTCTCTCTCTTTATCATTTTCTGCCTCTAGCTCTGTCTCTTCCCCAGCCCTCCCCATTTCTCTATTCCTATGTCTTCCCTTTTTGTCTCTCTGCATCTGTGTGCTACTTTCTCTCTCCTCAGCATGCTTGTTCTGTCTCTCTCTCTCCCTCTCTCTCTCTCTCTCTCTCTCTGTCTCTGTCTCTCCCTCCCACCTCTCCCCCCACAATATTCTGTCTCTCCTTTAATCCTCAATATCCAGGGTTTCAGTGTCTCCATGTCTCTTCCCCCAGCCCATCTCTCCCTCTCTATTCTTACACATCTCTCCCTTTCTCCCTAGCATTATCTCCCTCTCCCTCTGTCTCTGCTCTATCCTCCCTTGCTTTCCCTCCTGCCTCTCTTTCTGGGTGTGTGTGGGTGTGTATGTGCCTTGTCTCTCTCTCTCCCTCTTTCTCTCTCTCTCTCTCTCTTTCTCCCTGCCTCTCTCCATCCCTCTGTCACTCTATCTCCCTCCCTTTGTCCTTGTCTCTGTCTCTTTCTGCTTCTCTGTCTCTTTCTGTCTTCCTCTCTGTTTTTCTCTCTCTTTCTGTCCCTCTGTCTCTTTCTCTGTCTCTTCGTATCTCTCTGCATATCTCTCGTTTCTGTCTCTCTGTCGCTGTTGCTGTCTCTGTCTCCCCTTCATCCGTGTCCCTGCTTCTCCCCTTCTCTCTCTGCCTGTCTCTCTAGCCTTCCTCACCTTCCCCTTGCCACCCTTCCTGGAGTGGCTCCTCTGTCGCACCCCCACACTGACACACAATATTCCAGCAAATCCCGGCTTAGCTGTAGGGGGGAACAAGGAGGGATTGGTCAGGGGTATTCCAAAAAGTGGATTTCAGAAGTGAGGTGGGATTGTTATGTTAAAGGAAACGGCGCCAGCCTTGTCCTTTTCTTCCTCAGAAATGACTGGTTGCTTTCCTGGGAGGCAGAAGAAAAAAAGTCCCTGAATAGAGATTTAAAGCAGTAAGCTCAGATTCCTTCTTTTTAATATTTATAAAGAGAGAAAGGGGATAATTTCAGGAAGATCATTTCAAGGCGAAAACCCACATATTTTCAATAGAATTATTCCAAAAGCCCCTTTCCGGCTCATTGGAGTGTATAATTTTGTAAGTTAAAGACACCAGGCCTGGTTTCCAAGTTCCCTAAAATGACGCAGCTAAGTAAGAGCCAGAAGGAAGTAAGATGAGGAGAAGAGGGGGAGGGCAGCAGAGGAGATGGACAAGCTTGTCCCAGGGCTGAGGCCAAAGAGAGCAGCAGCCGGCATACCTGCCCCACCTCCTCTCCTTCGCCTGTCTCCTCAACAAGCCAGCCAAACTCAGGGCTATAAACGTTGTCAAATACCTGTCCCCAATCCCGAGACCCATCTCCAAGTCCAGACTTATAGAGGCAAGTGCCGGTGCAGGTGGCCCATGGGCTCTTCAGGCAAGATGTGTTCAGAGCTGCCCCCACCCCCGCCATCTTCCTCCCCACACCACCTCCATCCTTGGCCCCTATTCAACCACCGCTTTGCCCAAGCTGGCATCTGGGAGTCAGGCTTGGGTCCTCCCTCACCCCTGCCCCTTCTAGTTAGTTGCCAAGTCTTGTTGATTCTACCCCCTTCATACCTGTGGGATCTCCTTACATGTGCATTTTCACTGCCCAGAGTGGGCCTCCGCACCCCTGACCTAGACCACAGAGAGGCTCCAGCAGGTCTCTGGGCCTCTTGCCTATATTCAAGCTGACGGAGTGACCTTCGCATAGTCCAGCTCTGAGGATGGCCTTCTCTTTCTCAGAAACAGTCAGAGCCCCCTGTCCCCGTCACCTCTAAGGTGAAGGCCAATTTCCCCCACCCTGGCATCCATGATCTAGCTACAGCCTGATTTCCTTGTACCCACCCTCCCATCACAAGTTCTCCACTGTGGCCAAAATGACTCACTCTCTTCTGCCTACCCGAACGGAATAAGAATCATTTTTCGACTTCTAAGCCCTGGCTGTGGCTCCTCTCTTCTCCTGGAATGGCATCCTGCTGTCTTGGCCTGTGTTGCTCCCACCCAACCTTAAGTTCCAGCTCAAATGGTCCTCGTGGTCCTCCTGGTCACGGGTTATCTTTCCTTCTCTTTGACCCATGACATTTCACTTTAGACATGAGATAGGCTGTGTGGCCTGAGAACAGGTGAGGTCCGTGGCTAAATAAGGAACAGGAAGTGGAGACCACTCTCTGACATTCTCCCAAACCAAACCAAGTGAGATTCTGTGGTTCTGCTGGGTGCCTAAAATTGTCACCAGGGTCCCCAGATAATACTTACTCTTATCACAGTAAATAGCAATGTCATTGCAAAAATCAGTTATTGAGTACTCACTGTGAGCCAGGTACCTTGCTAAGTGCTCTTCATGTGTTATCTCACACAGTTCACAATAACCAGTGTGGTGAGGACTATCATCGCCCCAGTGGTACTGATGAGGAAACTGAGGCTCAGAGAGGGGGAGTGGCCAGCACAGCATCACTCTGTGAGCCAGAAAGCTCAGGACTCTGGCCAGGCCAGCCCAACTCTGGAATCCTTGAGTTTAACCTCAAACGCACTGAAAATGCTGACACTTGAGTATTAGCAGGAACTGGGTGATGCAGTCCCTGACTCACCTCCCATAAAGGAGGACCATGTGCTGTGAGGCCATGGCCACAGCCCTTCCTTGGGCCCAGCTTCCCCATCTTCTCAATGGTCCAGTTCCTGTTTGAAAAACCTTTCAGAGGCTGGTTCTGTAAACCCTGGAGACACAGTTTGTCTTCCTTTCCCTGGGGAAAGGCTCATCTGGGAGAGGTAGAGCTTAGAACTTCAAAGGAAGCCACAGGGGCAAAAATATCCCTCCTGCCTCTTGTCCCAACACCATTCTTGGTTTGACTTGGCCAAGAATGTTCCCTGGTCCACCTCTGAAAGTCTGCAGGGATGCTTCCAGCTGTTCCCACTAAACTCTGCTTCCTCTGACCCCTGCCAAGAACTGACCCTTAATTCCCAGACTGTAGCTTCATCTCTCACCGGGGCATCTACACCAGCCTCTTCACTGCTCCCACTCTAGACCTTACCTGCAATGCAGCCTTGTCGTTTTAAGCAAAAATCACAAGGTCTCTTTAGTTCTTAAAGCCCTCCATGGGTTCTCCCCACAGAATACAGCTCGAGCTGCTCATCCCAGCCCCCAGGCCCTGTGTGCTCTGATCCCCAGGCCTCCCTGGGCTCTGGCCACACCATCCTTCCAACAGGGCCTAGAACAAACCAGGTTCTTCTTCACCTCAAGGCCTTTGCTATTATGCTTTCCTGAATTGCTTTCCTGGCTTTTTCCTTCCTCTCTTTCAGTTCAAAAATCATACCTTCCCCAAGGCCTTTTCTGATCCCAATTATCCCTGGTACCTTCCTCCCTGCAGACATTCACACCAGCGATGTGTTCATTTCCCTGTAATGTGCAGTTAGATATTTGAATGCTTCTAATGTACCGTCGGTTGGAGGAGTGGCAGCTGCAAAATTGCAGACTAGGAAGCTCCAAGCTGTCATTCACCCCATGGAAGCACCAAGAAAACAACCAGAGACTGGTTTAGAACTAATATAGGAGCTCTGGAAAACAGTCAAAGGTTTACAGCACCCAGGTGAATACCTAATCAAGAAAAAGCCACCTTCAAACAGCAGAAAAAGTTTTGTGGCATTTTTACTCCCTTTTGCCCAACCCCCTCCCTGGCACAGCAGCCCATTTCCCTCCCTTGAGCCAGAGGGAGCAAGCCTACCTTACTGGCAACACTCTAACTGGTCTGAGGCCTGCCTGGAGGACAGCTCTCTGTTTTGTCTAACTAAAATCTCAGGTAGAGGGAAGCTGAGGGCACTGTTGGTGGAAGCTGCAGGGAGACTATAGACCCATAGATGACTGGGGCAAGAGATTATGAGTGGACACACACAATAGACCATCTGTGGCCCTAAGGAGAAGCTGGGTGCTGGGGTAAGATTCTTTGAAAAAGTAAGACATTCAAAAGCAGCTGTACATATGGAGGAATTGAGTAAGCCACATTTAGGAGCAGGCAAGATTCATTCTCAGAAAAGACCTGAGAAGACCTGAAGCTTTCACCTTGGTGAAGGATTGTGTAACACAGAGTCAGTTTGCAAAGCCTGGGAGAGGCAGCTGTTTTTTCAAATGTCCAGTTTTCAACAACAACAACAACAAAAACACAACAAAGAAGTAGAAAACATGGCTCATTCAAAGGAATAAAATAAATTGACAGGAACTATCCCTAAGGAAGCCCAGACATTGGACTTACTAGATAAAGACTTTGAAACAACTGTCTTAAAAATGCTCAAAGAGCTAAAGAAAACCACAGAAAAATAACTAAAGGAAATCAGAAGAATGATATATGAACCAAATTATAATATCAACAAAGAGATAGAAATTATAAAAGGGAACCAAATATAAATTATGGAACTGAAAAATACAATAACTGAAATGAAAAATTCACTAGAAGAGTTCAACAGCACATTTGAGAGAAAACAAATAACAAAATTGCAAAAGTTCCTAATTACCAGTAATTAGTTTAAATGTAAATGGATTAAACTCACCAATCAAAAGGCATAAATTGACAGGATGAATTTTTTTAAATATCCAACTATATGCTGTCTACAAAAGACTCATTTTAGATACAAATAGATTGAATGTGAAAACATGAAAAAATATATTTCATACAAATAGTAACCAAACGAGATCTGAGATGGCTATACGAATGCTATACATAATAGTCAAATATGTTTACAAGAGACAAAAAACATTATATACTGATAAAAGTGTCAATTCATCAAGCAGATATAACAATTACATACATATATGCACCAAATAGCAGAGTTCTAATGTATTATTCACCCTGCTCCCCAGACGTTATTCCATGAGAGCAAGAACTGGATCTGGCTTGCTTACTGCTTTGTTCTCATACCAGGCATTTATGACTAACACACATTTGCTCAATTTCCACTATCCCCACTAGGTGACCACAGCAAAAGTGGACAGATAGCGTCTGGCAAGCTTCAGGCAGGAGCTTGAACCTGACCATCTTCAGCTGTCCCAGCTGTCACCTCCAGAAATCTGAGATCCTTTCCTTGCCATCCATGGTCCAACCATGAAAATAGGAGTGAAGGTGTTTAGGAATTGTGATCAACTCTAGTCTCCCCAGCCAAGCACTTCAGGGCTTACGGCTGCATATCAGGGAATCCAGGGGACCAAGGGAGGCGGGTGAGTTCACCATTGGAGTTGTCCAGTCTGAATGGCCAGTGTTACCCATGAGGACCCTGAGGCTCAGAGAGGGCAGGGAACCAGCTGGAAGTCACACAACAAGCTAGTGGCAGAGCTGCTGACTGCCTACCACCTGCTGTTTCTCTAAGTTGCCTTGGCGACTGCCTCAGGGACTGCCCATAGCATGCAATCTCTCTAAGTTATCCCTTCCCCTCCATTTCCCCTTTCATTTCTCCTTTTCTTCGTGTTATTTTTTGTTCTCCATCCCTATACCACACCAGGCCTCTCACGGCCTTTCCTAGATTTCTGAGTTAGACCATCTCATTTGACCCCCACAATGACCTGTGAAAGAAGTGCCTTTTAAAGCCCCATTTTCCAGATTAGATAACTGAAACCCTGAGATAGAAAGAGGTCAGCCAGTGACGCCATGTGGGCCTAGAACTCTGCCCAGCCTCTTTACTCCAGGTTCCAAGGCCTTGTCTGCCCTCAAAAGTATCAAGAGATTTATTTAAGCAAAAAACATCATGCTCACTACAAGCTTCTTAAGAAAGCCTTCTTCCAATCACCAAGACCCCTGGCTGTCTTTCTCCTGTGGATTTTCCCTTTCATCTCAGGATGACCGCGAGATATGAATGTTACCCTCCAAGCTGTAGCATGCAGGAAGGCTGGGGCCCAGACCTCAAGCTGAAGGCATTAGGGTGGGTGTAGGGTGTGCCCAGTTCTAGACAATTTCAACCTCAACAAGCTCAGTGCATTTGCCACTTGATAAGTGCTGAGCTGAATGGTTTGCAGGTGTTACCTCAAATTCATGCCCATCATGCTTAATAAGGTCAAAACCCTTACTTCATTTTGCAATGGAGGACACAGTTTCAGAAGGGGAAGTGGGTTGCACAAGAGCACTGATGGTCATTAGCTGGTCTGCTGGGCCTTGCTCTTAACCCCCTCCTTGTCTTGGATCAGGGACCACAGGGTCTGTGGGTGGTGGTGCATGCAAAACATGAAGATGTACAGAAGGATCAGAGCTTGTGTAAATGTGTGGATTTTTCCAGGTTGCCTTGCCATCACTTGTTTTTTCTTCTAGAGAGTGAGGGGCAGGGAGAGTTCAGGTGGGAAGGCCCGGGATATTTTTGCTGAAACCATCTGTTCTAGGCCTACTTCTGAAATGCCCTGATCCACATAGGGGAGGGGGAAAACAGAGATGGTCGAGAGTCCAGCCAACGTCTAGGGGCAAAGATGAGGGGCTCAGAACTCAGCAATTCGGCCCATCAGTCAGGGATAGCAGCCTAAAACTGTGGTCAGCCATGGGGTCTGGAGAAGACTGGGTGGGATGGATGGGGAAATGTTTCTAGAAGGAAGAAGGAGACTCTGGTTCACCCCCAGTTTGCAGGATGGAGTCATTGTGCCTTTAGGGAAGAGTGAGCAGCTGGCTGGAGGTCTATACTCCTGCCTGCTTGGTCTGGAGTTTCTCTCACCCTGGTCACTTGATCCTCTTACTTTTCCTGTCAGTGAGGAAGCTGTTTACTCCCAGAAAGTCATTCATTCCCTGATAAGATCAATCTCATTGTTAAGCAGAATTTTCACTTCCTGCCCGGGAGTTGGCGTAGCGCGAATGTCCAGCATTCAGAGCCCCATAAACAGTCAGCATGAGAGAGGCCCTAGAGGCCAACACTGCCCAACAGCTCCTGATGTAAAAATGGGGAAACTGAGGTCCAGAGAGAGGAAGAGCAGGGAAAGGAGTCAGTGTCAGAGCTGAGCCCAAATCCAGGCCCTGCCACCGCTACTCCACCATTCCTAGGTCAGGTGGTGTTTTGCATGCCATCAAAGAACCCCACAATTTCATGCGCTCCCTTTTGATTTTAAGATTCAACATGCCATTCTAAGAAAACTTGCTAAGAAAACATTTCAACACAATATAATATTTTAATGTAACACTAATATACTATTATAACATTGCATTCAAATATAATGTTCTAACACAGATTAATATTCTAATTCAACATTTCAGCACAATTCTAACCAATATTCTAATCCTACACTCTGGAGCAACATACCATTCTAACACATAACATTACATCATGTCCTAATGCAATATTATAAGACATTGTACCACAACATTCCAATCTAGGCTGCTAACGCAATATGACATTTCTGTATTATTTGAATGCAATTCTAATACGACACTCTAAAATAACTAAGTTATTACTCTAATATTAAGAATTCTGAGATTTTAAGCCTCTGGAATGTCCACTGGACAAGGTGATGTCATGCCAGTTTGTGATTCATGACGCCAGAGCCCTTCCTAGTTCCAGCGGCCCCCAGGACCCAGGTCAGGTAGGTCCAGCTGTCTAGCTTTGTAGAGGGAGGGCAGGTCCTTCCCAAGGCACAGGGCAGGGACTCCTTGACCTCTGGTAGCTACCTGTCTCCTCCAAGCCACATGCTTTTGTGGGCTCTGGGTTGGGGTAAGGGAGAAGGAGGAAGAGGCCACCCATTCTGGGCTCACTTTGAGCCTGCTGGGACAGGCAAGAATGATCCCAATATTCAGACCAGGCACTTCTTGCCAGTTTCTATGTGGGTTACTAGGACTAAGAATAAGAGGAAGATAGTCAGGTTCCTGAGGCAGCACTGACTCCTTCAGGCCTGGGGGAACCACAGGACACCTCTCAACATTGCCTCCTTCTGTTCTCTCCCTCCCCACCCATCTGCAGCCTTCCAGCCACACCGGCCGCCTTGCTGTTCATCACATTCACCATTTCCCATCCCTGGGCCTTCACGCTTGCTGTTTCCCTGTGACTGGACTGCTTTCCCCCAGGTTTCCAGTGATCCATCTCCTCACTTTCTTTGCCCCACTCCCTGCTGCGGTACCCCCCCACCCCAAGGGGCCCTCTAGGGTCAGGCCATCTTCAACAGCAACCCTATCATGCTGGTCCCTTTTCCTGGTATAGATTTCCTTCACCGTATGCATGTATCATGGTCTGTGCATTTTGGTGATTTGCTCATTTGTCTCCTTTCCCCAAAACCATGGTTCTCCATGCTGTTGGCCTCTGGGATCACCTGAGTGGCTACTGAAAATCCCAGTGCCCCATTGCAGAGCCTGGTGCGGCAATGGCTCACACCTGTAATACCAGAACTTTGGGAGGCTGAGGCAGATGGATCACTTGAGTCCAGGAGTTTGAAACCATCCCGGACAACATGGCAAAACCCTGTCTCTACAGAAAATAATAAAAATTAGCCAGGCATGGTGGCATGTCCCTGTCATCCCGGCTACTCAGGAGGCTGAGGTGGGAGGATTGCTTGAGCCTGGGAGGTTGAGGCTGCAGTGAGCCAAGATAGGGCCAATGCAGTCACTCCAGCTTGGGCAACAAAGGGAGACCCTGTCTCAAAAAAAAAAAAAAAAAAAAAAAAAAAAGAAGAAGAAGAAGGAAGAGAAGGAGAGGAGAAGAAGGAGAAGAAGAAAATGTCCCATTGCAGAGCAATTGAGTCAAGATAGCTGGGGTGAGGCCCAGGTATCAATAATTTTTAAAGCTCCCCAAGTGATTCCGATGTGGCGAAAGCTAAGAGCCCCCTGAACTAGACTGTTGGCTCCCGGAGGCCAGGACCACTTCTATCTTGCTTAACAGCATCTGGCATCACTGTCTGATGAAGAGTAGGTCCTCCACAAATATCTGTTGAATGAATAAACCATTCAACAAAATATTTCCATTTAAAAATTTTTCCACGTAGCAAAAATTTTAAACACAGAAGATTTCCAATGAAAAGTGAATTTCCTCCTTTCCTAGGCTAAGTTGTCTTAAAAAGCCAACCAGCATTAACCTGCGGGTGGGGAGGGGAGGAAAAGGGTATTCTCTGCAGAGGGCACAGCCAGTGCAACGACCTGGGGGTATGACCCTACTTCAGTCTCTGACCCTCTCAAGTTTTTACACCTTGGAGATTCTCCCTCTTACCGCCTTCCTCAGGATCTATCAGCCTGGGCCACACATAACCTTACCAGGTGCCCTTCCAGAATGCCCACATCCCCAGAAATTCAGATTCTCTAAATTTTCTTCAAGCCTCAGTTTCTTCTTCATTCTATGGGGGTGATTATTCCTGCCTCCACGGGTAGGGGTAGTGTTCTGAGCACCTAATGAGATAGTAGCTATGAAGTGGTAAACTGTAAAGAGCTGTGAACTTGACAGTTGTGTGCCCTCTCTGTGCCAGGCATGTGCCTTGTTCCTTAGAGATGCCATGTCATTGAACCTGTACCACGGCTGGAGGTGAACTATTATTGTACTGTTTTGCAGACTGGGAAACAGAGGCTCAGAGAAGTGGGGTGACTTGCCCAAGGTCACCCAACCTGGAACCAAAGCCAAGTTTTTTCATCTCCAAAGGCCACGGAAATCGTAGATTTAAGGACTTTCAGCCCCCAAGTACCAGGTCTGTTAGGTTTGAGGATCCCCAGCCCCGAGAGCACTGGTGGCCAGGACAGGGCAGACAGTCTGGTTTCACAATTTATTTCACCCCCACCCAGTTGTTTGCCAAAGGGAGGGGTGGGGCGGCCGGTGGCTGGGAGCCTGGGCCGCCCAGTCACAGGGTAGACTTGTCTGCCTGCCAGCCAATCCAGGCTGCCGGAGCTGGCGTTGGAAAGGCCCTGGCCCCATCTTGCCGGGACACTCTATCTTTGTCCCTGAACACAAAAGGGGCCTTGTCTTGGCCCAGCAGTGCTGATTCCACATGCTCCCGACTGCCCCAGCCCCTCTGCCACGAGAAAGGCCCACTTTGTCGAGTCAAAAGACTAACTTGTTTCTTTTTCACCAAAACGTGTTGACTGACCTGGTTGATTTATCTTGGGAAAGTGGTGAATGAGGGAGGGGAGAGAGGTGACAGAGACAGGCACAGTCCAGAAGGCCATGTATCCTGGCCTGACTTGGGGGTGGGCACCCAGCCCTTACCTGGGACAGAGGGATAGCCACATAATGTAATTTCAGGGGATTAGGACAGTCGTCCAACCTCACTAGTAGCAGAGATTCCACCATTAGGTATTCATTTCTTTGGCTTTACCCTTTGAAGACAGCTAAAAATAAAAACTCCCTTTGAATGGGAATGCCCTATTGTCACAAGTGAGTGAGAATTAGTTTTCCTGAGAAGAGAGGTGAGTCAGAAGAGAACAAGCAGCAGGTGAGGCGGGGCAGCAGGCACCAGGAGCCCAGAGGGAAGCTGGGAGAATGAGGAGGGACTACTCACAGAGGAAGTGAGATTACGTGAGGGAGGAAACAAAAGCAGACTTTTCTTTGGTAATTTTTCCTCAATATCAGGCCTTCTCCCTCCACAACCAGCAACACCATTGCTTAGTCTTCTTCCTTCCTTTCTTCCTTCCCTTCTTCCTTCCCTTCCTTCCCTTCCTTTCCTTCCTCCCTTCCTTCCTTCCCTCCCTCCTTCCTTCCCCTCTCCCTCTTCCCCCATCTCTCTTTCCTCCCTCTTTCCCCCCTTCCTCCCTCTCTTCCTCCCTCCCTTTCTCCTTTCTTTCCTTTCTTTCTTCCTTCTTTCTCCTTTACTCCATTCAAGAAATATTTATGGCCAGGCACAGTGGCTCGTGCCTGTAATCTCAGCACTTTGGGAGGCCAAGGCAAGAGGATCACTTGAGCCCAGGAGTTCAAGACCAGCCTGAGCAACATTGTGAGACCCTGTCCCAACAAAAAAAAAATAATAATTTTTAAAAAGCCAGGGGCAGTGGGCTGCACCTGTTGTCCCAGCTACTTAGGAGGCTGAAGCATAAGGATCCTTTGAGCCCAGGAGTTCGAGGCTGCAGTGAGCTATGATTGCGCCACTGCACTCCAGGCTGGCTGACAATGCAAGACCTTGTCTAAAATAAAATAAAATAAAAAAGTATACAGTTATATATTTGTAATATAATAATAAACAAAAAAGAGAAAATATTATGATCCCCACACTATGCTGTTAAAAGAGAGAGAGAGAGGAATATTTATTGAGTACATACTCTATGCCAGGGACTCTTTTAGGCACCGAGGCCATAACGGAATCTCAGACCCCTGTCTTCAGGAAGTGTCCACTCTTCCTGGTGATAAACAATTAAGTGCATGACTAACGATCATTCTGGCAGGGGTACGTGCTGTGAAAGGATGGGGCAGGGTGGCGAGGCAGAGCAGCTGGGATGCGGTGGAAGGACTGGGTTGGCCGGGCTCCCTGAGGAGGGGATCATGCTGAGACATGAGGGGTGGAAGGGACCAGCCGTGGGGATGCTGGGGACAAGTGTTCTAGGCAGAGGGAACTGTACATACGAGGGCTCCAGGGCTGGGCCAGGGTGGAGCCTTCCAGATACACTGAGGCCAACGGCATTGGCTTCCCACCAAGTGCATGGAGGGGCGACAGCAAGAGGAAGGGTTCAGAGTGGCAGGGGCTGGACCCATAAGGCCTGGTGGTTCCTGGTCACATCCTCAGGTTTTTATCCTGAATAAGATGGGAAACTATAGGAGTGTGCAAGAAGGTAACACAATCTAATTTTTTTTATTTAAAAGGCCCCCCCCGGCTGCTGTGTGGAAAATGGATGGAGGAGGCTACTGCAGCCATCCAGGTGAGAGCTGTCAGCAGCTAGGCTACAGGCGTGACAGTGGAGCAGGGGAGAGTGGGCAGAGTTGAGATCTGTTTTTTAGAGCTAGGATCCAGAATGAATGAATGAATGAATGAATGAGCCCCTGAGGGATAAAATTTAGGCTCGAGTTCCTGTAATGCCACTGAGTTTCAGTGTGACCCTGGGCAGATCCCTTCCCCTCTCTGGGCCTCAGTTTCCCCATCTGTAATGCAAGGCACAAGGAGCCTGGGACAGCTGACGCCAAGGTCTCCTGCAGCATTCCTGAGCCTCTGACGCTTGCAGGGGCGGAGGCTGTGATCCAGTTACTAATCCAGTCAGGCCTGGCTCATCCAAGGGCAGCTGCAGAAACCTGCGGGTGATGCATTGACTCACGCGTGGTCCTCTGCTATCAGCAGAAACTGGGACAGCCAGGGGCCTGAGACTCACCCGCAGGCTGGGAAAGGTTGGCAGGATGCCTCTATGCAGCTGGGGGAAGGGAGCAGGCTGCCAGCACTGGGCTTCCTGAGCCCCTCTGGGGACTGATGTGACAGCCACTGCAGCCACCGCAGCCACCATACCTTCCCAGTTGGCCCAAGCTTGGCATGGGGCTGTGCCCAACCTCTGTGGGCTACCAGGAGACACTGGCAGGAGCACAGGACCTGCTGTGTGCCCACTCCATCTTCTCTCTGCCAGGCACTTGATGAAGTAGACAGTAATACTCCTATCTTATTGATGGGGAAACTGAGGCACAGAACATTGTAGGTGGCCAAGCCAGGAGAATCCTACTATGTTTGACTAGTTCTTTCCATTGTTCTGCTCTGCCTCCCCAGTATGAAGCAGACGGGTGTGAAAGAGAAAGGAAGAAAAGCTAAATATGTTTTAATAAATATAGAAACTCACACCCTCATGTTTTACCAGGGCCGAGGACTTTCAAAGAAAAGCTTCTTCTTTTTGCAACCTTTTTGCAATGTGGCTAAGCCACTTGGCCATTGTGCACAGCTCTTTTACTGCTCATTTATTCATTGGCAATTGCAGCAAATATTTATCAAGAGCCTTCTACATGCCAGAGACTACGTGAGTCTCTGAGGAGGGAGACACGACGATTAGCAAAAAGCGACTTCATATCTACACTCACCGGCTTGTATTACATAGAGGGTGAGAGAGATATCAACAAAAAATTTGGAAACTCTACAGTCATTTTTAAATTCTGCTTCGAGTAAGTTCCTTCCTTCTCTGAGCTTCAGTTTCCTCATTATAAAATGGGATAGTTAGAGTTCCTCCCTCATGAGGCTGAAGTAAACAGTTGATGAGATATGGCCTGGCCCACAATATGTGCTCATTAAATCCTAGTTGTTGCTGTTATCAGTTCCTGTGTATAGCATAACTTCAGTAGCCTAGTAGGTAATAACTGTGTTAGGATGGCCCACTGAAAAGCAGACGTCAAGATTGAGTTCAACATACAAGAGATTTATTGAGAGAGGGAGCAGGAGAAGGCAGGTCTGGCACCTGGGGAAGGACAGGGAGAAGGAAGGCAGATTGCGTAGGAAGAGTCTTGAACTGCAGTACAATTCAAAAAAGGTTAAGCCATGCCAATGGAGAGTCCTTGAGCCAAAGTCACTTACTGGAAGGGTTCTTCATCTCTCCAGAGTGGGCCTGCCTTTAGTATTCCTGCCATGCTCGGTGGTTGGCTGACAGCAGCCCACAGGAAATGTGGGTTCAGCACAGATATGGCAGCACATCCCAAGGGACAGCAGCTGGGGCCGTCAGTCAATCATGCTCCCCACGGTAGGAGACCTGAGCAGTGCACGTTCATGGCTGCCGCAGTAACCAGACTTGGCCCTGGAGCCAGAGGGTTCCGAAACTCTGCACAGCCCATCAAAATGAGTTCATGCAGCATTCCGTGCCCTCAGTGTGATACATTAACCAGCCAGGGCATCTATGGGGAGAGTACTTGGCCAGCATCAAGAGGTGCACACCTTGGTCAAGTTTTAGATTGTGCAAGGTGGAAAATAGGATGGAATCAAGACCACTGGGGGCCCACTTGGACCAGGCACTGCTGACGTCAGGAAGGGAGGAGTTGGAAAGGCACATCCAAAAATCTACTCAGGAGATAGCTGCCAAGAGCCTGTGCTGTTCAGAGGCAATGAACTTTCCCCTGAGGAAAGGGGAAAGGGGCTCCAGCACCATGCAAGGAACCGTGCTGGGGCGCTGGACCCCTAACCCCCTACTGGAAGGTTTTTGGGTTTCTATGGAATCTTCTCGGCTCAGTGTGGGAAGGGGACTTCTCACCCATCCAGTCCAACCCTCTCATTACACAGATAGGGAAAGCGAGACCCAAATGGGAACAGGAGCTGCACAAAGTCCCCTAAGAGCCACTGGCTGAACTGAGGCTCCAGCCAGGATTCCCAGCACCCAGGCCAGGGCTGGGCCCCCTGCGGGCAACCCTGCCAGCATCTGTCAAGGGACTACTACAGGAAAGCGGGAGGAGGGCAAAAAAGAGACTGATCTCCGGAGAGGGAGCTGGGGCTCGGAGGGCAGACAGGGAGATCCGAAAAGGATGGGGAGACTCAGAAAGGAGGCTGAGGTCTGAGAGGGGCATGAGAGCTTGGAGAGCGTACAGGAGCCCTGACAGAGGGACAGGGGCTCGGAGATGTTGGGCTCAGGCTCTGAGGGCCTACAGTGCCCCAGGCAGCCCGGCAGCTCTGGAAGGCAGCAGCTTCCTCTCCTCTCGGCACTTCACACCCCTGCAGGGCCACCCGGAGCTGGAGGGACTGACACTCTCAGGCATTAGTCAGCTCGTGGCGGTTAAAAAAAGAAGGCTCGATGGCACTTGTGAAGAACGTCTCTTCCAGCTTTGAGCACCAATGGGCTGCCACCTCCCCGCTGCACCACTGGCCAAGGATAGAGGAATCGGGAACAGGGCGGAGGGCCCAGAAGCTGGGACCCCTACCCCAACGAGGGCTTCCTCCCAGCTCCCACCTCATGATGATGATGATAATAAGGTCAGCAATACCATTAGTAGTAGTGTTTGTGATGTAGTGTAGTAGTAGTGTTGGCACATGCTTGCCACTGGCCCAGGCATGTGAGGAGGGCTCTGACCCTGAACTTGCCCTGAGTCCATTCACATCCAGATGTCCCATCTCTGGGGCTGTGCATAGGGCATCCCCTGCAACAGCCTGGTCCGAAAGTGACCCATGTGCAGGTGCAAGCTACAAGGGGACTCAGAAGGCTCCCACTTCAGCCACCACCTCCCACTTCACAGATAGGAACACTGAGGCTCTTGGAGGGCAACAGTCATCCAATATCATGTGGCAAGTTGCCCAGGTTTCTGTCCCCAGCCCAGGGGTAATTCCAGTAAGCCAACTGGTCAGGCACCCAGGTTCAAATGTGGGCTTTGCACTGCTTGCTGTGTGACCTTGGGCAAGTGACACCGCCTCTCTGTGCTTCATCTAAAAATAGGGATAAAAATACTTACCTCGAGTGAGGATTAGAACATAAGGCAGGCATCCGGAATCTCTTTTTGACTGCTGTATGCATGGTCAAAAGAGCTTAAACAGCTTAAAAAGCCTGACCCCCAGCAAAAGTGTGACCAATGATGGTTAACATGAGTGAGTGCTGGTTCTGCCTGGCACATGTGAAGATTCATGTAGTCCTTAGCAATCCCACAAAGTAGGTATTTTTGAATCCCATCTTCCACATAAAGAAATTTAAATGAGGCACCCAAGGCCACAGAGCTGGAAACTGGTAGCATCAGAAGCTGAATTCAGGCAGGTGAGCACTGTGCTAAGTGCTCTACACAAATGCATTTGTTCACTCATTCATTCATGTAACAAGCAGTAAGCACCTATTATACACCAGGTACTGCTTTAGATACCATGCATACAGCAGTCAAAAAGAGAGTCAGGATGCCTGCCTTATGTTCTGTTTCTCATTTGTGGTAGGTATTTGTGTTATCTATTTTTAGATGAAGCACAGAGAGGCAGTGTCACTTGCCCAAGGTCACACAGCAAGGAGTGCAAAGCCCACATTTGAACCTGGGCCTAGCTGATGCCTCGTTTTCTGTCCTGAGGGACCCTTTTCCAGCAATATCCCCAGAAGGGACTGAACCAGAGGTGTATGCACTGATGTCTGTCCAGGGTTCAGGCCCATTCAGAGCCCCGGAACACTCCATCCCACGCAGCCTTAGCCTCATTTCCCAAGTGGCAAGTGGCACTCAGGCCCCACCCTCTCCAAGCTGTCATGAGGATTCCTTCCTTCTTTCCTAACACTAATTGAGATGCCTCCTGACATTGTACAGATACCATAGTTTAGGAAACCCCTCCTCCTTTCCTAGAGGTTAGTTTTGCTTCAGTCTGCAGAAGAGAAAACCCAGGGGTCTCAGAGGTGACATGATTTAACTAAGGCAGTGACTCAATCAGAATTCAAGCCCAGACATGTGTGCCTCAAAGCAGCAGCAGTCAGGGTCTCAGCAGGAGCAGATGGCACCCTCCAGGTAGGTCATTTGATTTGATTTTAATAAAGGGATCACTTAGGAGGGATGAGAAAAGAGTATAGCAAACCACAAAGGATAAGGTAGTACCTCAGAGCTGGTGCAAGTCGAACTATTATGGGCTCAAAGGGTGAGAGGAGGGAGAAGGGAGAAGTTGGCTGTCACCAGGAGATAAGAGAGAGCCCCCAATAGGAGATGTGGCCTTCAGTTGAAGGACACAGGCAGCTTGAGGGGATCTTGAAGGCAGAGAACTGGGGAATAAATACACCAGCCTCACTATCCTCTCTCTTCCCAGATCCCACCAGTGCTCCCAATGGGCCAGACCCAATGGAAAGCCAGACAACAAGGGTTCCCTTGATTGACATAATCCCTGCAGGCCAACCACTCAGGACAGAGAGCAAGGAGAAGGATGGGAAGAGGATCTGAGAGGAGAACCACAAGATCTCCAGCCAAAGTCAAGTACACTTTCCTTATCTACTGCCTTGTGCTTGCAGAGGCATAGTAGGTTCTGTTGTCTATGCCAGCAAGGTCACTATGGAAGGTACAGTTGTCACTACGGCTAGTTCATGCTGCAGGAACAAACAACTCCCAATTCTCAAGACTTCAAACAGGTTGGCAAACTATAGCCTGCAAGCTGGTCACTCATCTTGTAAACAAAGTTTCATCGAGACACAGCCACAACCACCCATTTACGTACTGTCTGTGCCTGCTTTCTTGCTCCAACAGCAGAGTTGAGTAGCTGTGACAAGCCTAAAATATTCATTCTCTGGCCAAGAAAATTTGCCAACCCTTGGCTTAAAAAAACACAGGTTTGCTTCTTACTCCGGTTCCCTGTCCATCTCCAGTTGGCAAGGCTTCTCCTCCATAACGTCCACAGTCAGGGGCCCAGGCTGGCGAGCCCTCCCTTGAAGAACCCGCCAGTCTCCCTGGCAGGGGATGCAGACAAAAAATTGCTCACCAGCTCTTGAGGCTCCCATCAGAAAGAGACACACCTCACTTCTGCTCACAGATCTTGGCAGAAATCAAGTGCCAAGGACGTGCCTAACTTCAAGAAGGCTGGAAAGTACAGCCTCTCCACGCACCCCACATGAGGAGACCCAGAAATGGACCCAGATGGTGGATAGCACTCCTGACAACTGCGGCATGCGAACACGGCAAACGGTTGTAAAACAAAGGAATGAGGACACCGCTGGGTCTTGCAGCAAGCTTCTCCAGAATCCCTCCTGTGCACAGGGCTCAGGGAAGCCAGACAGGATTACACCCGGGGGTGGAGAAGCTGGAGAGAATGCATGTCACATGCACGCTCGGCCACTACCCTTTTTTATGGCCTCCATGGAAACAGAAGCAGAAACCAGAGGGTCCCTAGGAGCTCCAGCCACACCCACTTCTCATTCTCTGGGGACAAATGTCTGAGGGCTCCCTTCTCTCTCCATCAGGGTCCAGAAGCTGGCCAAGGACTGAAGAGGCTTTGGCTCAATTTATGACTTTATTACCAGTCGCCTTCCAGCTGTGAGCCTCCACTTCCCCAGCTGCAACAATCTGTGGGTCTCAAGGTGAGGTCCTGTGACTGGCAGCATCGCCATCACCTGGAAACTGATTAGAAATCCACATTCTCAAGCCCCACCCAGCTCTATTGAATGGGAAGCTCTGGTGGAGGATCCCAGAAATCTGGACTTCAACAAGTGTCTCCGGTGATTCTGATGCTTGAGGAATATAAGGCACAAACGAACTGAGATGTGCAAAGCCCGGGCCCGCACTGCTTTTCCAGCAGTCCTCCCCACCTGCATAAATGACAGTTTCATTCTGGTTTAAGCCAAAAACCTGGAGCCATCCTAGAGGGTTCTCAGACCCTAATCCTGTGGCTTAGCCTTTAGAATATATTCAGATCTTGGCCTCCCTCTCCACCTCCTTCACTCTGCGTGGCCCTAGCCTCTGCCATCTGACACCCACATACTACCTTGCCTTTCTAACCCCCGCTCCCTCTTCCTTTGAGCCCTGTAGTACATCCTCACTCCAGCAGCCAGAAGATGCTCTTAAAAACTCAATCAGATGATTCCACGCTTCTGCTCAGAACCTCCAATGGCTTCCATCTCACTCAGAAGAAAACCTGACAGGGCCGCCCTTGGTCTGATTCCCACTGACCTCTCCACCTCCCCAACGCCCTGCCGCTTGCTTGCCGTCTCCAGCTGCACTGACCTGTTCTCTGTTCCTCCAACATGCCAGGCACGCTCCCGCCTCAGGGCCTTTGCTCCCGCTATTTCCTCTGCCAGAAACCCCTCTCTAGTGATCCCCACACGGCCCAAGCCCTCACCTCCTTCAGATCACCGCTCAAATGTCACCTCCTCAGAGAAGCCTTCTCCGACCCCGCCATCCTGCGCTGCCCCCTCCTCTGGCTTTGTTTTTCTCCATAGCCCTCACCACCACCTGACACACATCTTTGTTGTTTCTCTGTTTATAGTCTGCCTCTCCCCACGAGGGTATGAGGGCCACGAAGCCAGGCACTGCCTGCTTTGTTCACTGCTGTATGCCTCCCAATGCCTGAATATTGCCTGGCATGGAGAAAGCCCTGGGTAAATATTTATTGAGTGAACAGACGGATAGGTAGGTAGACAGATGGATGGACGGAGAAATGCTCATTCCTTGGGCCTTGCTGTGGTCAGCACGAGGCAGCCCCCATGGGCACGCCCCAAGAGTTACACCACAGAAAGACCCCAGGATTGAGGGCTGGGTCCTTGTATGCCGCTCTGGGATCAGCAGGTCTGGGTTCAAGTCTCTTGAATTGACCTGAAGGAAATCACATAACCTCTCTGATCCTCAATTTTCTCATCTCTAAAATGGGGATGATGCTGATAATGTGTATCATGTGCCTTAACCTTATAGGACTGCAGCGAGGACTAAACAAGGTGCACGTGAAGGGTTGCAGCGTGATACCCAATACCTGCTAAATCCACAACACACAGGAATTACTGCTGCCCCTATTGCTTTGCTTTCTTCTCAATTTTGCCAGTGGCCTGGGGTACTTGGGCAGCCATAGGGCTTATTGGGAGTATAACTGGCTCCAAAGAAAGGGACTTGGGTTTGAATCCTTGCAGCTACTATCTCGCTATATGACTTTGTGCAAGTCACTAGCCCTCTCTGGGCCTCAATTTCTCCCTCTGAGCAATGGGAAAAGGGTATTGAAGGAGGTTGTTTTGTGATCCCTGCAACTTGCCTCCCCAAGTCCTTCTGGAGGACCAAGCCCACGCTCGCCAAGCCCTCTCCTCTTCGTGGCTGCAGTGGGGAGGCCCTGAAGCTGAGGAGGCTGGCTGGGGCTCATGCTGACTCCTCCCCTAGCCTCACTGATTCTGCAGGGAGGGAAGAGAGAGGCAGTACTGGGTTGTGGCTGAAAGCACCCCAACTCCATGTCTAAACCGGAGTTCTCCCTCTGGTTTCTGTGATTTGAGTGAGTCACTTAACCTCTTGTGCCTTAGCATCCTCATCTGTGAAATGGGAATAATTATCACCTATGAGGATAAAATAAACTGCTGCGTGTAAAGTGTTTAGACAAGTGCTTGGCACACAATTATCACTATTATTATAATAGCTGCTATTATTTCTAACAACCACAGCTGGTCTCTGGACCAGGCACCATCAGAAGTTTTTATAAACTTTGATTTAATTTTCACAAATATTCTACGCCATTATTGTCTCCATTTGAGAGGTGAACAAGTTTGGCTCAGAGACTGAAGCCATTTGCCCAGGGTCCCACAGCTTGCAGGTGGAGCTGGGTTTGAACCCAGTGCACTCTCAAGCCTGGTTCTTTCCACTCACCATGCTGCTTTCCCTTCGCTCTCCGTTTTACTGATGGGGAGACAGAGGGTTACAGAGCTCACTCCCAGGCCTCAGTCCTGCTGGGCCCTTTCACCCAAAGCATTCCTGGATCCATGCAACATCGTACCTAGAGGCAGAACTAGAGGCCATGATGACTCCTATTCACAAAGAGGCTGCTCAGTGTGAGGGGCAGAGCAGAACCTGGCCTGGCTGCCAACAGGTGCATGGCCAGGTCTCCAAGGGAAGTGGCCCCAGCAGCTCCCAGGCAGCCAGCCCCCCCTCAGCTGGGCAGCCCCTGATCCTCCTCCCATCCCCCTGCTTTATGACCTGTTTTATGAGCGGGAGGCCTGGCAGCTTCCACGTTGCCATGGGAACCAGCCCAGTGCGGGCTCCTGGCAGCTCAATCAGGGATTGGCAATTTTAAGTCAGGAGCCAATCCTGGGGCTAGCGAGGGTTTCCATGGGTTGGGGTCTGTGGGCCCCAGGGATGCACAGTGCCTGCCTGACTGTCTGCCTCTCTCCTCTGCTCCAGCTCCCCAGGTGCCCAAAGAACTCAGGGACCCCACAGCTGGAAGATGACAGGCTGTTAGAGCCCTGGAGGAGCCTGGGGCAGCAGGGAATGACATGGACCACCGAGTGGGGGCTGGGAGAGCTGACAGAGCTGGACCGTGGACACACATGCTTAGGGGCACACAGAGACACTAGGACAGCTGACATGAAGGGACTCACAATGATATACAGATACAGACTCACACAGAGAAACAGAGATATGCACATGGCAGCCACATGTGCATAGCAAAGAAAGGTACTTGCAAACACACAGACATACACAAATCCATAGGAATACCTGGGTGCCCAGAGACTCACAGACACACAGACATCCAAAGACACACACAGAGGACACTTGGACACCCAGAGATACATCCAGACATACACATAGACACACAAAGGACGTACAGACACACACTGCTCACTGCCTGTGTGGTCCAGGCAGCTTGCCCAAACTCTCTGAGACCCAATCGCATCATCTTTCAAAAGGGCATCACAATCCTAGCTTGTGAGGACAGGGAGGAATAACGAGGAAAATGGCTGCGTGTGCTCAGACACCTTCATTCATCCAGCCAGACAATATTATTGAGCATCTACTATGTGCCATGTGCCTCCTCCGAGCTGAGAACAGGAAGCTAACAAGGACCTACCCTCAGGAAGCTCACAGTCTCCTTCGGAAGACAATAAATACAGGAACAAAGCAACAGCTAAGAGTGACTCGGAAGACAATAAATATAGGAACAAAGCAACAGCTAAGAGTGACTCGGAAGACAGTAAATACAGGAACAAAGCAACAGCGAAGAGTGACTCGGAAGACAGTAAATACAGGAACAAAGCAACAGCGAAGAGTGACTCGGAAGACAATAAATATAGGAACAAAGCAACAGCTAAGAGTGACTCGGAAGATAGTAAATACAGGAACAAAGCAACAGCGAAGAGTGACTCGGAAGACAATAAATATAGGAACAAAGCAACAGCTAAGAGTGACTCGGAAGACAATAAATATAGGAACAAAGCAACAGCTAAGAGTGACTCGGAAGACAATAAATATAGGAACAAAGCAACAGCTAAGAGTGACTCGGAAGACAATAAATACAGGAACAAAGCAACAGCTAAGAGTGACTCGGAAGACAATAAATATAGGAACAAAGCAACAGCTAAGAGTGACTCGGTGGAGGAACCGGTTAGGGTAGTCAGGGAACACTTCTCTGAGGAGGTGACATTCGCCTGAGACAGAAGGAATGTGATGGAACTGACCAGAAAGGGTAGAGAGAAGAGTGTCCCAGTTAGCGGGAACAGGAGGTGCAAAGGCGCTGAGGTCAGAGCAGGGCTCCATGTGGCCAAGAAGCCCCAAGGAGATCAGTGTGGCTGCAATGGAGGGAGGAGACAGGGGATGAGTTTGAGAGTAACTGGAGGCCGGAGCAGGCAGGGACTTGAAGACTGAGTGATGTACTGTGGGTTTCATTCTCCATAAAATGGGACCCACAAAAGTGTTTCTATCAGGGATCATCTGGTCAAAATCGCATTTTAAGTAGCTCACTTTGGCTGCTGGCAGGAAACTGCCTGGATGGGGCAAAACAGGACATCGGGAGCCTAGCATTGGGGGCTGTCACAGCATCCAGGGGAAGGGTGGCTGCAGGCTGGACCAGGGTGATGGCAATGGCCATGGATGGTCCTTGAAATTGTGCATTCAGCACATCTTTACTGAGCTCCTATTCTGTGCCAGCCATTGGGGATGCAGAAGCCAACAAGAGAGAAATTCCTGCCTTCACAGGGCATGCAATCTAGAGGAAAGAGAATGGTAACTGAATATAATATATGCCAGTGGTAAGTGACGACAAGTGCTGTGGAAAAAATCAAAGCAGGGAAGGGTGTGGAGATCTGCCAGGGAGGAGTGGGGCAATTTGTAGTTTTAAACAGGAGAGTCGGGAAAAGTCTCATTGAAAAGGCCACATTTTAGTGAAGATGTAAAGGAGGCATGAGATAGAATCTGGGACAGAGAGTTCCAGGCAGAGGAAACAGTGAGTGCAAAGGCCCGGAGGCAGGCCCACTCCTGGTTTGTTTGAAGAAAGCAAGGAGGTCCCTGTGGCTGAGCTGACTAAGCTGGTGGGGGCGGGACAGATCATGCAGGGAAGGAAGGGAAGGAGGAAGGGGCTGAATGGGCAGAAGAGACTGGGACCTGGATGCCTATAGGAGGGAGGGAAACCAGCGAGACAGGGCCTGGCCCCTTCTCCATCCTGCTCCCCCGACCCAAGGAAGCAGCATCTCCCATTCCTCCTTTCATCCCACAAAGCTTCATCAGCCAAAAAGTGAAAGTTTAAAAAGGGAGGAACTGATCCCAGGAGAGGCAGGGCCCTGAGATTTGCCTGAACCCAGGTCAGACCCCAGCCCGGGTGGGGTGTGACTTCCTGTGGCTCTGATGGAATTCTCACTGTCCTCCTCAGGATGCATTCCTGGGCCTGAGGCACAGAAAGAGGACACACAGCCAATAGCAGCCAGTTTCAGGGCTCCTAAGCCTGCTGGGAGACACCCCCAGCCTCAGGCAGTGCTGTCGGGGTGGGCTACCTAAGCTGCAGGTGAGAAGAATGGTGGCTAATTAGGGTGCTGCCTCCTTCTCACTCTCCAGGTCCCAGGGATACCCTGAGTTGGATTTCAGGCTCATTAATGTCTTGGCAGAGAGGCTCTGGCTGTGAGCTCTCTCCAGCTGCCCAGCCTTGCCTGGCAGGAGTAGGGAATAGAAGGGAGACTCACAGGGGAGTCATCTACCCCCAGAGTCAGTCCCAAGGCAGGCCCAGGGTTGAAGGACGTCCTAGAGGACGTCCTAGAGCCCAGTGACATTGGCTGAGACACTCTCCCTCCCTGAGCCCCTTTGTCCCTGTCTCTCCAAGGGGATCATAGGCCTTTTCCCACCTGACTTCCAGAGCTGGGATGAACCCAAATAAAGGATGAAAGTGAAAGTGCCCTGAATCATTAAAGAGACAGGCAGAACTCCCTGTGCCACCCTGGAGGGATCTGCAGGATGGGTTGTTACGTAAGACAAGGCGCCTTGCAACAACTGCTGCCTGGCTGGCCTCCCAGCTTCTGCCCTTCCGTGGTGGCTGTTCTCCCCTGGTAGCCCCTGGATTCTGTTACATAAAATACCAGGTCAAAGAATTCCCATGGGACCCAGCAATTCCACATCTGGCTCTATACCCAAAAGAACTGAAAGCAGCGTCTCAAATAAGTATCCGCACACCCATCTTCATAGCAGCATCATTCACAATAGCCGAAAGGAGGACGCAACCCAAGTGTCCACTGGCAGATGAATAAATGGATAAGCAAAGTGTGGTATATACATATAATGGAATATTATTCAGCCTTAAAAAGGAAAGAAATTTTGTCACACGGTACAGCATGGATGAAACTCAAGGATATTATGCTAAGGGAAATAAGCCAGACACAAAAAGATAAATACTGCATGATTCCACTTATATGATTCATCTTGAGTAGTCAAATCCATAGCAACGCAAAGTAGAATGGGGCTGGGGGACGGGGGAATTCGTGTTGAATGGGTGCAGTTTCGGTTTTGAAAGATAAAACAGCTCTGCATGCGGATGATGGTAACGATTGCACAGTGATATGAATGTGCTTAATGCCACTGAGCTGTACACTTAAAAATAGTTAAAATGGCCAGTTTTATGCTGTGTATATTCTACCACAATAAAAAAAATTGCACCAAAAAACCCCAATGAAACCAATCCTAGCTCAGTCCTCTCCTCTGCTCCATCTTCCTGAGGCTCTGGTTGTATGCCCCAACCTGCATTCCCCATGCCACCCCATATGTTCTGCACTGCGCCTCCCTGACCCATCTCCTGCCCCTCCCCTCGCTCACTTTGCTCCAGCCCTGCTGGCTTGTTCACTCGTTCTCCAACCCACTAATTTCATGCCATGCTTGGGGCCTTGGCACCCAATGTCCTCTCTACCAAGAATCTGTCCTGGATATCTGCAGGGCTTGTTCCTCCCCATCCTCCAAGCTCAAGTCAAATGTCTCCTCAGAGGAGACATTTCCTTGACCCCCTGGACTGAAAGCACCCCCCCACAACCCCACTCCTATCCTCCTCTATCCCTTTACCTAAATGTATGTCTTTCATAACATGTATTAATATCACTACCTGGAAGAATACTTTAGCTTTGTCTGCTGGCTACTCTGTTAGAGTGTCAGCTCTGGAGGGTAGGAATCTCACTTTTTCATGCCTCACAACAATGCCTGGCACATAGTAGGTGCTCAATGAATAGTTATCAAATAAATGGAGAATGATCTTATTGATGTATGATGCATACCTATGACACACATGTTATATCTGTGCAGATGTAAATATATGGGAAAGGCCTGGAAACATGTCCACCAACATACAGTGGTGAACCGGGGAGGAGGGTGGGCAAAGAGGATGGGGGAGTGGCTGTCAAGGGGCCCTTTCAGGGTTCACTGAGTTCACTCAGCTGCTGCATGCAACTCTTACCATGCAGATCATAGGTATGTGAGTTTTAAAAAAGAGCTCTGAGGTGATGCTATGTCCCATGTAGCGTCTATGAGTGATTCTCCCCAGCCTCCCAACTACCCTGCAAGGGCGTTGTTACTCCTACCCTTCTATGAAGCGAAGCGCATTCTGCATTCCCCAGAGTCACCGAGCTCCTGCTACACACCAGGCATGGTTCTGGGCTCGGGAGACACCAGAGTGAAGAAGCAATCCTGCTCTCATGGAGCTTACACTTCAGTGGGGCAGATGAACAATAAATAAATAATTAAAACAAGTCTGTTGGGGCAGGGAACAGAATGGAGAAGTGTACAGAGTGAAGGGGCGAGAGTAGAGAGAGCAAGGGAGGTGAGTGGAGGTTTGCAATTTAACAGCGACACCAGGAAAGCCCTCACTGGGAAGGTGACATTTAAGACCTAAAGGAGGTGAAGGGGTGCTCTGATTTTACTGTGTCCCCTAAAGCTCATGTGTTGGAAACATAATCCTCAATGCAACAGTGTTAAGAGGGGCACTTTAAAGACATGATCAGGTCATGAGGACTCTGCCTTCATGAATGAATTGACGCTGTTATCACAGGAGTGGGTTACTGACAGAGTGGGTTCCTAGGCCAGGCGTGGTGGCTCACATCTGTAATTTCAGCACTTTGGGAAGCTGAGGCAGGCGGATCACCTGAGGTCAGGAGTTTAAGACCAGCCTGGCCAAACATGGCAAAATTCTGTCTCTACTAAAAATACAAAAATTAGCTGGATGTGGTGTCAGGTGCCTATAATCCCAGGAGGCTGAGGCAGAAGAATCACTTGAACCTGGAAAGTGGAGGTTGCAGTGAGCGAGATTGCACCACTGCATTCCAGCCTGGGCGGCCGAGTGAGACTCTATCTCCAAAAAAAAAAAAGACAAGAAAAGAAAAGAAAGAGAGAGTGCATTCCTAATAAAAGGATGAGTATGACTCCCTTCTTCTCTCTCTTTCTTTCCCAACCCCTTTGTCCTTCCACCTTCTGCCATGGGATGATGGAGCAAGAAGGCCCTTACCAGATGCAGCCCCCCTGGATTTTGGACTTCCCAGCCTCCAACCCATGAGCCAAAGAAAATTTCCATTCTTTATAAATTACCCATTCTGTGGTATAGTGCTATAGCAACACAAAACGTACTTAGCCAGGGATTTATCCAGGCAAAGGCAAGTGCAAAGTCCCTGAGGTGGGCACATCCCTGGTGTACAGGAGCAATGGCCACCGTGGCTAGGACACGTTCTAGGGGGAGAGTGGTGGGCTTGGAATGGTGAAATCCCTTGCCTCACAAGTAGGGCAGCTGAGAGCAATATCTTGGGCCTGTCTGACTGTAAAGTGAAGCTTTTAACTGCAAAGGGCCTGACACTCTTTCTAGTGAGGAAAGCCAGAAAGGGTGAGCGTATGTTATTACCAGGCATTGCGCCAAACACGTTGGGGAATCACATGGGGGAAGCCCCCACCCTTCTGGGGCTGCTGCTGCCGTAGAGAGGAAGGGAAACTGAGAAGTCAGCTAAGAGCCTGAGCAGATACTATAAGAATCCATCGTGATTGCTGTTTTCCGTTTCTCTGTGTGTTGGTTGTGGAAGGAGTCTTAGCACGTGTACACACAGCATGTGCATTCCTACCTCTGAGTGTGTCTGCCTGAGTGTTTATGGCTGCATAGGGGTCTTGAGTCTGCTGCCCACAAGTTAAACAGTGGTTTACTTAGCCCTCCCCAACTGTGTGAATGCAAGTGTGCATGGGCATCTTCATCTTGTCTTTGTGTTTATACATCTCTGTGTTTATACATCCCTTGTCTTTGTGTTTATACATCCCTTTGTGTTTATACATCGTCTTGTCTTTGTGTTTATACATACCTGGGAAGGTATCCATGTTCATCAGGAGGCATGTATCCATGTCTGCATGTCCAAAATGAGTGTGTGTCATTGTGCATGTGTTTCATGGATCTGCACAGCTGTTAAGAGTTCTGTCTCTGTAGCCTGACTCCCTGGGTTGGAATCTAGGTCTGCCACTTACTGGGTATGACCTTGAGCAAATTACTCAACCCCCTCTCTGCTTCACTTTCCTTATCAGTAAAATGGGCATATTAATAAAACATACCTTATAAGGTTGTTGTGAGGATCAAACAAATGAATATATGTGGAATGCTCGGATTGATGCCTGGCACATACTAGGAGCCATGTGTGAGCCGTTGTGATGTTAGGGCTCTTTCTGCGTGCATGTGTCTGTCTGGGTCTATCTGGCTGACTGAGCACACTTGCCCCAGCTGATATGCCTCGTAGCATGCAAGTTGGCATGCCTAAGTTCACACCTTACCTACGTCTCTGTGTGCACAACCTCAGTCTTAGCCCCGCATGTGCAGTGCCCAGCCTCCTCTGCCTGACAAGAGCAAATGTGGCTGGCTGGGGTGGGGACTGGAGGAAGGGCCAGCAGGAGGGGGCTCCTGCCATGGCCTGGCCAGCTGGACTTTTCACAGCCCAGTGACTTTGTCCCTCTGATCGGCCAAGTGGCTAGACAGGCAGGCAAAGGAAGTGCCCCTCTTCCAGGCTGTCCCCGGCCTGTGCCATCTCTATCCCTGATCACAGGGATTGGGTTTACACGCCTGATGCCCCTCGGGATTGGGGGATCCAAGAGAGCAGAGTCAGGCCTGAGCCACCTTTGTGTCCCCACATCATAGCTGTCACTGTTAATGATGGCTAACACTTACTAAGGACTGGCTGAGAGGCAGGCACTGTATTGGTTCTGTATTGATACATGGTCTAACTTGCCAATCCTCATGCCATTTCCCTGAGATAGGTCCTTCCATTGTCCCCACTTCATGGGTTTGGAAACTGAGGCACAGAGAAGCGAATTGTTTACTTAACTCACACAGCTGGTAAGTGAAGAGACCAGAATCCAAGCTGATTAAATACATGTTAAGTGACCCAGCTCATTGAATGAGACACAGAAGAGCCATGTTTGGGATGGAGTGGAAAGATGGAGAACAAGGTGGAGAGTGGTTCTGGCAGAGGAAGGGGCCAGCTTGGCTCTCTGCAGGGGAGCCCTGGGAATGGGAAGGAAAAAGTGGATGGGGCCAGATGGTAGGGGTCTGGAAGGCCAAGTGGGGAAGCTTGCATCTGAGCTGGCTCTACTCTTCAGAGACCTGGCCACAGTGAGGTGCCATGGGGACCGGCCACCTGGATCCTTCATTGTGAATAAACTGGTGAACTGAGCCCAGGTCTCTGGGAGAGCTGGTAGCTAAAGGCAGACTAACAGAACAAAAGCTCTGCTGTCAGTCTGAGGTTGGAATCCCAATGCCCTCACCCCCTGGTCACTTCCTACTATGAAACTTCCATTTTCTCATCCAATTCAACTTGTTAAAATGGTTAAAGTCATCCATTATCCCAATGTCTGACATATAGTACTCAATAAATGATCATCCACTCTGAAACAGGGGCTTTCAAATAATGGTAATAAATAGATTAAAGGATCTAGCAGAAAAGGTAGACAACATACATAAACAGATGGGAAGTTTCAGAAGAGAGAAGGAAACTATGAGAAACAAAAGAGAGAGAGAGCTGACTGGAAGTGCTGGAACCAGCAAGAAAAAGATAATATCAAAGAGGAAGAATTCTGTTGATGGGATTAGCAACAGACTGGACACAGAGGAGGAAAGTGAAACTTAGTGATGGGTCAACAGAAATTCTCCAAACTGAAAAGAGAAAAGAATGAAAATTCACAACGTAGCTTTCTTAGATTTGTTAAGAGGGTGAAGGCCAGTGTCAGACACATTGGATTAAGTAGTACCATTCCTTCAACCATTTAACAGAAGTACATTGAGCTCCTATTATGCACCAGACAGTGTTTACAGTGCTAGAATCTCAACAGTGATGAAAAGGACAAGGTCCCTGCCCTCAGGGAGCACACAACCTAAGGGAAGGATCAGACTCCTAAATAAGTAAAATACATACATAGTATATTAGATGGTGTATTAGTCTGTTCTCATGCTGTTAATAAAGACATACCTGAGACTGGGTAATTTATAAAGAAAAGAGGTTTAATTGGCTCACAGTTCCACATGGCTGAGGAGGCCTCACAATCATGGCAGAAGGTGAATGAGGAGAAAAGTCACGTCTTACATGGCGCAGGCAAGACATCTTGTGTAGGGGAACTCCCCTTTATAAAACCATCAGATCTCATGAGACTTATCACCATCATGAGAACAGCACAGGAAAGACCAACCTCCATGATTCAGTTACCTCCTACTGGGTCCCTCCCATGACACATGGAAATTATGGGAGCTACAGTTCACGATGAGATTTGGGTGGGGACACACCCAAACCATATCAGGTGGTGATGTGTCCTATGGAGAAAAAGCACGGGAGCAGGCCAAGAAGAGTAGATTCAGGGGATGCAATTTTAAATAAGGCGGTAGGTCAGGGAAGGCCTCAATAAGAAGGTGACATTTGAGCAAAGACCCAAGGGAGGTAATAGAGGAACCAGGCAAATATTTGGGGGAAGAGCATTCCAGGCAAAATGAACAGCTGGTGCAAAGGTCCTGGGGCATAAATGTTCACAGACAGTTATGCCCCAGGGAAAGCCCAGAGGCTGAGGTGGCCAGAGAGGAATGATCTTGAATGATGGAAAACAAGGTCAGAGAGGAAGGTAAATGGGAGGTGGCCCCCCACCACCCCAGGAGGGAAGCAGATTATCATGTAGGGATTTTGGCTTCAGCTGTGAGATGGAGGCCTTTGGAGGATTTCCTTCAAAAGAGCCACATGACCTGACTTCTGTTTTAACAGGATTCCTCTGGCTGCTACCTGGAGAATGGACTGGAGGGGCCCAGGGTGGAAGCAGGGAAGCCAGTGGAGAGTCTGTGGTGACGATCCAGGTGAGATATGGCACCTGGGATGAAGGTGGTAGCCATAGAGATGATGGCAGCTTTTAGATTTGGGGTGCATTATGATGGCTATGCTGATGTCAGGAGAGCTCTTATTGTTTTTATATGTGTTGCTGTTATTAGGGCTAGCCAGGCTCCCACAAACTTTTTTCAAGGAGCCCCAACCCAGACAAGCAGGAGTGAAGCTGCTCACCTGGCCCCACCTGCCAGGGGAATCTTGCTGCACTTGTTGGGTAGCTGGTGGCCAAGGTCCATCTCCCCAGAGCCCAGCCCTGTAGGCTCCTCACCCTCCAGGCAGCCCAGGGCAGCTGCAGGCTCAAGGTTGCTCTGAGCAGCCCCCAGCTCCACAGCTGTAAGGTTCTAGTTGTTGGTTTACTCAGAGGCAGCAGATTCATCTGGAGAATCTGGTCCCTGCAGCCCCAGGTGCCCTCATCTCACTTCCTAAACATTCATGAGAGGGGAGGCGGGCAACCTCCTCAAGACACCTCGACTCAGATGCCTGATTCCTGCCGCCACTTGTCCACAGCACTGCCCCATCTGGCTCCTGCCCTCCACCTGACGGCTGTCATGGGCTCCTGCTGGTACCCCTGCATCCATCCAACCCTTTCCCATCCACCCCACTAAGAGCAGGAATGGGCCATTCTGAAGAGGGTGACAATGTCACTCAGCGAGTGCTTAAAACTCCACCATAGCTCCCCCTGGCCTGGGATAACATCTAGAACATTAATAGTGGCCTTCAAGGCCCTGTGTGATCTGGTCCCACTCTTCATGGCCTTCTTGTCCCCCCACCCCACCACCACAGTACTTGCCAGCTGTAAGAAGCTGTACCTAAAGCACCCCTGCAGAACTTTGCACAGTTGCTCCTCCAGGTTGCTCTAGCATGGAATCCTCTTCCTGCCCTTCTCTACCTGGCAAACTCCCACTTCTCTGTCACCTCCAGGGTCACTGCCGTCTTCTCCAGATGGCTGGAACTCACCCCAGGCTAGGCTCCCTGCTGGCTCCCACAGCTCCCTCTGCTCTCCCTCCTTATTCAGCTGCACTATATTACAAGGATAATGACAACACATTGGCAGGCATGCCCTGCTCCCATTGTCCATGGCAGACATCACTAAACGATCAGGGTGTTCTTCCCCCCTGAGCCCGGATATGGCCTCAGGAATGCAGCATTCTAGAGCTCATGGTAATCAAAAAGAGGTCGGGTGCAGTGGCTCACACCTGTAATGCCAGCACTTGGGAGGCCAAAGCGGAAGGATTGCCTGAGGTCAGGAGTTCGAGACCAGCCTAGCCAACATGACAAAACTCTGTCTTTACTAAAAAAAATAAAATAAAAAATTAGCTAGGCATGGTGGCGGGCACCTGTAATCCCAGCTACTCAGGAGGCTGAGGCAGGAGAATTGCTTGAACCTGGGAGGCAGAGGTTGCAGTGAGCAGAGATTGTGCCACTGCACTCCAGCCTGGGCGACAGAGCAAGACTCCATCTCAAAATAAATAAATAAATAAATAAATAAATAAATATAAAATAATAAAATAATTAGAAAGCCTCCTGAGTAGCTGAGATTATAGGCGCCCACTACCACGCCTAGCTAATTTTTTATTTTATTTTTTTAGTAGAGACAGGATTTCGCCATGTTGGCTAGGCTGGTCTCGAACTCCTGACCAGGAGGCTGGGAGGGGGTGTAGGAAAGGCGGGAGGGGGTGTAGGAAAGGCAGGAGGCGGTGGCAGCCGGGTTGGCGGGGTGGGGTAGGGGGTGGGGAGGTGGGGAAGGAGGATGGGGTTGGTTATCAGGTTCTCGTCCTGAATGGCTCTGCCTCTGGCTTTCCCTGTAGCTTGGGCAGATGCCTTCTCTCGGGACCTCAGTTTTCACATCTGTGAAATGTGGCAATAGGGCCAAGTTGTCAGTGACATTCTTCCCAGATGTCTCCCAAGTGTCAGGGCTGGATTTATAAGCACCTACTCAGTGCCAGGCCCTCTGTGTTGTCCTGGAGAAAGAGATGAATAAGACACTTAACCCTGCCCTCCAGGAAGCCATGGACTAAAGGTGAAGGGAGTGTGGTGTGTGTGTGCGTGTGTGTGTGTGTGTGTGTGTGTGTGTGTGTGTGTGTGTGTTGCATGTAGGCAACTGGGGATGAAAAAATCAGTTTTAACCTGTCACCCAGCTGAGGCTCTCTAGGCTACTTGGAGCTTCCTGGAATTTCCTTTGTGTCTAATTGCAATTAGCATTCTTTCCTGTCTAGTAGATGCAATGTGTCCCTCGGGAGGAAACGCAGAGACCACTGCGGAGATGTTCCAGGAACTGAAACCTTTGCCTTCCCTTTAGACTTGCCTCCTAACTCCGTCTACATTAACCATATGTCTAATCTCAAGTCAAAAATTCAAGGTTTATAGGGTAGGGGCTAGGCTTGTCAGCATTTCCCAATGATGTCCTGTCCCACGATAAAACAATTCTGGGGACAATACATTCTGGAAATGCTACATGAAATCTCCCCCTCTTGAAGCTTCACATTACACATTTGCATATAGAAGAATCTAAGGGAAGCAAAAAAAAAAAAGTTTGTCAAACTTTGCTTAATCCAGTTCTTCAAACTTATTTAACCACATAACTCTTTTTCTCAAAGTTCCTGTTTGCATCTCTGTCAGTTATCATGCTTTAACTTGCATCAGAAACCTCAGTCAAGCTGGTTTATGCAACCGGAAGAGTACATTAGCTTTTGAGACTGAAAGTCTAGAAAACATAAGGGCCTCAGGTAGAGTTCAATCAAGGCCTCGGCTCCATCTCTTGAGGCTTCCCTTGTGTCTCTATCCCCCCTTCTGTACACTCGTAAGCTTCATCCTCAGCCTGGTTTACCCCATAAGAACAAAATAGCTGCAGCAGTTCTGGGCATCATATTCAAGTACCCCACTGCACAAAGAAGAGGAGCCTTCTCTTTTCATTACAGACTGGATGTCCTTGCTGTATTTAGACCATGTACTTATCTCTGAGCCAATCACTGGGCAAGAGAAATAAATGGGCATCAGCCAATGAGAGCTTACCCCTGGGATGAAATCATAACATCTTCCACAAAGCCTATGACAATGTCTTCCTTCTAGTAACACATATCCCAGTAATCTCAGCTATCCCATCCCATTCTTTGCTAAGGAAACTGATTTGTGTCCACAGCACTGGTGAGCCACTGATCTCAAAGAGGGTAGGCCCCTAACATGAACTCTGGGGGTGAATCTTGATTGGTCCAAAGATCATGGTAACCTTATTTCTCTTCACCAACGATTGGTTCAGAGATGGCCATAGGACTTGGTTCTAGCTAATGAGATGCAAGCATCTCCTGGGTGGGGCTTCTAGAAAAGCTTTTGTCTTCTGGTGCAAAAAATAGACTTAGATGGCATATTCCTTTGCTCCTTCACCTTTCCTTCTTCTTCATACCTGGAATGAGGATTTGATACCTGGAGGTGTGGCAGCCATCGTGGGACCAAGAGGCAAAAACTGCAAGAATAAATGCCACAGTCCCAGAGACTGCAGAACAGAAAAATAGAGCCCAAAGGCTAGACAACATTGTTGGGCAGCTGTGCATAGTCTGGAATGCTATCTCTTGACATCTTATTATGAAAAATTGGATTGGAAATACATATTTGTTTGAGCCAAAGACATTCATTACTAACTGACCAAAGCCAAGTCATTTTTTGTAAAATAGGACTTGTGAGAGCCTTGAGACACAGCCTTGAAGACACAGCTTGAGTATCCTTGAATTCCAGATACTTTCATAAACAAGTTCTGCCCAAAGATGTTATAAGAAAGCAGATTGTCCAAGCTTTGCATCCACCCCAGCAAAGAGTTGAGTGTTCCCTGTGTGAGAGGGGCACCAGGAGTCATGGAGCGTCAGGCTGGGAGCCCAACAAATCCCATGGCAGAGTGTCCCATGTTGCTTTGAGGTTTATAGAGGAAGCTATGACAATGCCAACTCAAAAGTACATTCTTGAATTCAGATACTGATTGAGATGCAGCGAAATCTATCCACAGTCTTAAGCTCATCTCACTCTTCTTATATCCTAGTAATCTTACTTCTGAGCTCTCTTCTGATAAAATAACCCATAATAAGCAGAGAAAAAGCCAGGAACATAATTTTCATGACAGTTACATTTACAATATCCTCCTCATCCTGCCCCAGCCCCACCAAAAAAACTGGACAAATCTAAATGTCCTATAACAGAGGAAGGATTTTAAAACTATCTGTTCAGTGGAATATTACATGATCATAAAAAATGATGTTTGCAAGTTTATAATATTATAGCACAGGGGAAAAGCCGGCTGTAGCATTATATATATTATGTATAATCTCAATTATAGAAAAATTGCATGAGGGAAAAATCAACCATGAAATAAAGACAGTAACATGTTAATAGTGATTATGCTTGGTTACCGTTATTATGGGTAATTTGTTGGGGAATTTTTCCTGCTGTTATATATTTTCCATTTTACCTATATGTTCTACTTTTGTAAGCATAAAAAATAAAACTGGCTCTTCTTTTAAAAGCTTCCAGGACCCTCCAATTTGTGAGATCATTGCTGTTGTCTCTCCTCCAGTAAAGCAGGTAATCAAGGACTGCCCAGAGCTGGTGACCCCATTCTGCACCAGGCCAAAATAAAAACAGCTTCCAACTCCAGCATATTTGATTAACAGCTTGAAATTCTTTCAAGAGGCAAAATGAATGGTAGGGAAAGGGGAAGATCAACACCCTATTGTTAAATGGTGATGTGAGCTTGCAGGAACTAAAGGCAAAAAGAGGTACACACCATTCCCTGCCTTATGCAAATCGATGCAAATAGGACACACTCTCTGGCTAAGCAAGAATTCCAGGTCTGAGCTCCCACCTGGATCCTGGGTCTCACTGAGGAGGGAAGGAAGCAGTGAGAGGAGGGCATAGTGATGACCCCATTCATTGAGCACCTACTAAGTGTCCCACTTGCAAAGCATTTTCATGGCCTGGAGCTCGTCTACCACTCATCACCGCTTGTGATGAAGGTAATATTATCACCCACTGTTTGAAGGCAAGTCAAGTGGAGCTCAGAGTGGGAAGTGGCCTATGCAACGTCACAGCAGGACCAGCCAACTCCAAAGCCAGTGGTATCTGATGACCAGGCTACGCAACCCTGGGATACAAGTGCATATGGTGCCTCTGGTGGGATCTAGGGTCAGTCCTCAGTGTGGAGGAGAGAAGAGATGTATAGGTTGTCGGGACCACAAAGCATGAAGGTCTGGAACTCCTGGATGCAATGTTAGACATCCAGGTGGAATGCTTGTAAGTCCCAGACAGACTTTGGTCCCCACCTGGCCTTTACACTCATTGGGCCTGGAACACGCCCCCTGCAGACACCTACTGGCTCACTATAATTCCCCAGTCAGCTCTCTGCTAAAAGGTTACCTTATCAGAGGGGCCTCAGCTGACTACTCTACCTAAAAGAGCATCACCTGCTCACCTCTCCCAGCTCCAACATCTCTATCCCCGCCCTGCTTGGTTTCGCATCGTCGTGCTTGACACCCCTCGACTTACTACATATGTATTCGCTTATTGACAAGAAAGTCCACTCCATGAGGGTAGAGAGTTAACTTTTGGGCTCAGCTCTGTGTTTCCAACACCTGGTACATACTTGGTTGTTCAAGACATATGTGTCAAATGAATTAATGAATAAATAAGTGAATTTCAACTTCCCCAGAGCCTAGTTACACAATCTTGGACAATGACCCAGCAACAATAATAACATAGTTATTAATGATACATCACTCTTTATAACTAACGTTTCTGAGCACTTTTTTTTATGAGACAGGGTCTCACTCTGTTCCCCAGGCTGGAGAGCAGTGGCATAATCATAGCTCATTGCAGCCTTTGTCTTGGGTTCAAGTGATTCTCCCACCTCAGCCTCCAAGTAACTGGGACTACAGGCACACGCCACCATGTGCAGCTAATGTTTTAATTTTTTATTTTTTTTTAGAGACAGGGTCTCACCATGTTGTCCAGGCTGGTCCCGAACTCCTGGTCTCAAGCAATCCTCCTGCCTTGGACAGCCAACATGCTGAGATTACAGGCATGAGCCAGGCCCCCAGCCCTGAGCATATATTTGTACATTCCTTTCCTCATTTGATCTTCACATCAATCATCTGAAGCAGAGAACGTAATTATCCCCATTAGACAGCTGCAGGGACGAAGGCACTGGGAAGGCAGGTGCTGCCCAGATCAGAGAGCATCGCTAGCAGAGTCAGGACTTGAATCAAGCATGTCTGATTCTAAAACCTACTTGCCTACCCACCATGTGATGCCCAGGTCAATTCCACCCAACAAGAGGGCAGGCACTACATCTGCCTTATTCTTCGCCATATTCCCAGTGCCTGGCACCAGGTGAATTGCCCTTGGAAAAGGATGAGAGAAATCAGTGGTTCTGGAAGTGTAGCCCCAGGACCAGCAGCAGCAGCAGCACTTGGGAACTTCTTAGAAATGCTGATTCTTGGTTCCCATTGCAGATCTACTGAATCATACCAATGCACGCTAGAGTGTGAGAACCACTGGGACAAATGGGCGAACGTCCCCAAGCCTGATGCCCCATCCATAAAGCAAGGCTGAGCACCCATGGGATCAGAGGGTAAAATGAGAACTTCAGCCAGCGCCAGACCTGCCAGGGGTTTGAGCTATCCTGATTCCTTCCCACAAGCAATTGGAGGACAAATTTTCAGCTCTAATTTCAGGCCTTTGATTTCGGCCTCATCTGGCCAGGAAGATGCCAGCTTGTCAGAGAGAGTGGGAGGCCAGGAGTGATGGAGCTGGAGCAGGAGAATCTATTATTAATTACCATGTAACATTGATTAAGAGCCCACAAGGCACCACAGCTGCGAGGAGCTCAGGAGAGCCTCCGCTCCTGCCTGGAGGGGAAAATGATTAGCAACATTATGAAAGGAAATATTCATCCTGTAGCGGCCCTGAGCAAACACCTCCAGGGATGGGGAATTTTCCTCTCCCAGTGATCTTTGCTCCTGGAGCGGGGGCAGCTGCCTCCGTGGCCTGGGACAGACTTGTCGAGCTAGGAAGGTGGAGAAGCTGACCTCTGACCCATCTGCAGGTGTCAGGTTGACAGGTCAGAGAGTGCAGCTCTAGGGGGCCAGAGATGCCCAACTTGGGCTCCTGAAAAAGCAGTTTAAGGTGGCAGGATCTTTCTGAATTTTGGAAAGAAAGAGGCAATCTGGATTTGGTTTTCAATTCTCCAAATTTTTAAATATGGTTAAGACAGATTCTGGGTTGGCAACTTCTGTAGCTACTCAGCTGCCCTCATCACATTTAATCCTTCCAACAACTCCGTCTTTATCTTCTAGATGATGACACTGAGCCTCGAAGTGGTCACTTACATAGCAAGTCAGTGGAGCAGCTGGGATTCAAGCCTATATGTGCTTCCTGAACCTCTGCTTTCTCTACTGAATCACTCAGGTATATTGAGGTGCCCTGCCCCTGGTGTTCCAAAGCCACCCAAACAAATTCCAAAAAGTTTATGACTATTGCCCAATCCAAGCTACATCCCTGCAACAGGATCACACCCAGATGTAACATAAAAACTCCTAGTCAGGCAACATGTATGGATGTGTGAATCTGAGCACCTGACCATTCTAATACCCACACTGTGCTCCTCCCAGAAGCTTGAGTGTCAAGGAGCTGGCCCCAACCTCCCAGTGGTCCTGCTTCTGACCTTTGATCTCACATTTATTTCCAAGAGGATCTAGTGGAATTAACCAGTCACCTCTCCCTTTGCTCCACGGAACTCTATTTTTTTCTGCCACTGACTAGCTGGGAAGCCTTAAGCAAGTCCCCAGCCTTCTCTGAGATTCAATTTCTCCATATGCCAAAGAGGACTATTTGGATCCAGGGATCAAGCTGCTGGCCTTATTCATTCTATGGTCAAGCCACTGACCAAGTCATTCCTAAATTCCAGAGTGAGAACAGAGACTTCATAGGTGATAATGATGATGATGATAAAAATGATACCAAGATACTAGTTAACTATTTTTAATGCTACCTAAGTGCCAGGCACTGCGTGTGGATTATCTCTTTTAATCCTCACAGCAACCGTATGAAGAAGGTGGTCTTGGTAAATGCCATTTCACAGAAGATGAGACTGAGGCTCAGGCAGAAAAATGACTCCAGAGCAGACACGCAGAGCCTCCACTCTGGTGTCCACCCTGTGCCCTCTCTCATGTTCACAAAATGTGAGGTTTGTTGGCTCCTTCTAGATTTCTCCATCTGGAATTCAGACCATAACAGGTCCCTGGGGGCTGAGCAAGCTGCTCTGTTTCCCAGGAAACCATGTGGAGCCTTGAAGATTTATTAAGGAATTCATAAATTTGGGGGAGAGTTTTAAAACTGGTACAGCTGGCCACAGATCCCCAGGGAGGTAGCAAGCTCCCCATCCCTGCAGGTGTGCAAGCTGAGACCAGGCAGTACATTTGGTGGAATGTTGTAGTAGGGATTCCAACACCAGATGGGAGGCAAAGAGGATGAGCTACATCAGTGACTTTTTGGAAAAAAACAAACAAATACTTGTTAAGAGCCAGACTGCCTGAATTCAAATCCCTCTTACTTTTCTGAGTGACTTTGGGCAAGTTACTAGACTTCTCTTTGTTCAATTTCCTTACCTTTAAAATAGAACTAATAATAGTACCTACCTGACTGCATTACTGTAAGATTACATAAAGTAATATGTGTGGAACACTTAGAAGAGTGCCTGGCACATGGTAAGTCTATAAAGTGTTAGCTATTACTTTCAAACATTTTATATTAACTTTGGAGTCCTGTCTTCCATTCGAAACTTCAGTGGATACTGATGTTACAACAAATAAAACAAAGAAAAGCTGACTGACCTGAAGAAGTCAGGGGCTGGGAGCACTGGAGCCCTGTGAAATCTGACCCCCTCCTGCAATAGCCTGCAAAAACACTGCCATGGCCCGATGCCACCACAGGCGACTGCACCTCAGTGGCTGCGTCCTTGCTGTCAAAATCCAATCTGCTCGGGCCTCTCAAAACTATGCATTCAGTGCCACATTTCACAGATGGGGAAACTGAGGCCTAGAGAGGCCTGCTAAGGTTACCAACCAGTTAAGAGCCAAGTTCCCTCTGGAGAGCAGAGGGGCTCCTCTGCCGCCTTCCCAGAAAAACAACCAACCACAACAAGGTCACAGTCCCAGTGCGAACTCCACTGCCCCTCTCGACATTGCCACAGAGGGACCCAGAGAGCCTCCTTAATGCCCCTCCCTGGTGCAGGACCTCCCACTGCAGGAAGCTGGTTTTGGAGGAGGGAAACCAGCTTTTGCTGGGAAATCATCAAGAGGAAGTAATACTTAGAGAAAGGAAAGAAGGGTAGCAGGAACCAGAGCTAAGCCTAGCAGAACGGGGGCAGGATGAGGCTGCAGGTTGGGGGTGGGGGCAGCCCAGAGCCTCCACCTCCCCACACAGAAAAGCTTGATCAGCCCTGGCCCAGCTCCAGACACCAAGCCTGGGATCAGCAATCCTGGGAGAGCCCCCAAACTTGCCAAAATTTCCCCTGCTCCTGGACTCTGCTCTTCCTGTGATAAGACCCATTTTCCGGGAAGATGTGATCACAGGACACTCTGCCTGTGAGTGTCTGATAGGAGGATTCCATCTGAGTCCTCTCCGGGAAGGCCTGTAAGACCCAACCATCAGGATCCAGACTCTCATCGTACAAAGGGGACACTGGCCCAGATAGGGGCTCATCTGAAGTTACACAGCAGGTTGGGACAAAGCTGGGACCACCCCCAGGCATTTGAGGCCTTACTGTTTTCACCAACATCAAAGTCTTATCTTAGTAACCATAGTCATAATAATAATAACAACAATCATAAGACGGATATATATTTATATGTACATATAAAATTTGTTTTTTGAGAGAAAAAGAATTTCCTGATTTTTTTAACTTTTTTTTAACTTTCAGGCTCAGGGGTACATGTGCAGGTTCGTTAATACAGGCAAACTCGTGTCATGGGGGTTTGGTGTACAGACCATTTTGTCACCCAGGTACTAAGCATAGTATCTGATAGTTATTTTTCCTGATCCTCTTCCTCCTCCCGCTCTCCTCCCTCAAGAAGGCCCAGTGTCTGTTGTTCCCCTCTTTCTGTCCATGAGTTCTCATTATTTACCTCCCACTTATAAGTGAGAACATGCAGTATTTGGTTTTCTGTTCCTGCATTAGTTTGCTGAGGATAATGGCCTCCAGTTTCATCCATGTTCCTACAAAGGACACCATCTTGTTCTTTTTTATGGCCGCATTGTATTCTGCAGTGTATATGTACATTTTCTTTATCCAGCCTGCCACTGGTGGCCATTTAGGTTGTTAAGAGCTGTATTTTTTTTGAATGCCTACAATAAGGCAGGCACTATTCTAGGTCCTTCAGATGATTGAACATTTTCCACCCTCATAAAGGAACTCCACAGGGAAGGGTCCGCATCCCCATTTTACAGATGAGGAAAATGAGGCACACTGAAGTTACAGAATGTGCCTGGGACCACACAGCTGGTATTCGGTAGAGTAGGGATTCAGACCCGGCAGCTTGGCTTCACAACCCATCTTGATCACTACACTGACAGCAGGAAGAGGACCTGCTTTCTGGAAGTTCCAGCATCACTAGTGAGCATGGGTGAAGGAGGCTTCAGGGTTTGGGAAATCGGCCTGTGGCTGTGGAAACTATGTGTGGACAGCTTCCTCCCACACAGCTAATAGTTATTCTCATGCTAGCTGCAAGAAAACCCAGAACACTAACTTTCCCAGCTTCCTTTTTAACTAGGAGTGGCATGTGACCCTCGCTGATCTAATCAATGAGATGTAGGTAGAAGTCTCAGAAACAGTCTTCCTCCACAGTTAAAAAGCCCTTTCTTTTGCGTTTATCCCTTTCCCTTCTTCCTACATGGAACAGGGATGCCATGCCCAAGACCTGGCAGTCATCTTGCAACCATGAGGCACTAGGAATGAGGATAAACAGCTACAGGCTAAAGATGGCAAAGACGAATGGCAAGCAGAGCCTGAGTCTCCAGTGGCATCAGTGAGAGCCACACTGGTCCCGGGTGGCCTGCCCAGGACTTATAAGACAATAAACACCAATTGGATTATGCCTCTGCAGAAGGGTTTCTATTATTTCTAGCTGAGTTCATTCCTAACTTTCCCAAGAGTGGGGTCAAGATAGGACCCAGGGACTGCCTGTCACCGAGCTCTTGTTCCCTCTATGGAATCACACTACCTCCCAGGGGATGTACCTCCCCCTTTCTATCTCTTCCAAAATGCACCAGCATTAGGCGTTTGCCTGGCTCAGGGCCTAGAAAAGGGTGCTGAGCAGTTGTTCCTCAGGCCACGTAGCCACTAGACCTGCCCATGTGAACCCATGAGGAGTGGGGGTGGGGTCTTGCCCTGAACCCACCTACCATGAAAATTCCAGGGTCCCAAGTATCCAACAGATTGGACTTCCAGGAAACATATTTGATTTGACTTGTAATAACCATCCATCCATCATTCTAAACAAATAATAGCATACATCATTCTAAACAAATGTTTATTGAGGGGATGCCCAGTTTCAGGTGCTCATAAGTGAACAAAATCAGCAAAGTCCCTGTCATCAGAACTCATATCCTAATGGGGGAAGCAAACCATAACCAAGTCAGCAGAGAGGTCCCTCACCTTTACAAGGTGCTTTACAGTTTACTTTTAAGAATTTATCTGTCCTTTATCCTCATTCCTAGTGCCTCATGGTTGCAAGATGACTGCCAGGTCTTAGGCATCACATCCCTGTTCCATGTAGGAAGAAGGGAAAGGGATAAACATAAAGGGAAGGGCTTTTTAAGGAGACCTAACTTCGCCTCCTCAATAACTCCTCATTTTTCCATTTTGCCAAAGAAACAAAGGCACAAAACGGGGACCAAGAAGAGGCTTCCCCAAGATCACCCAGCCATGTCCAGGAGGGTCAGTCTGGCAGCAATTGCCTTCCCCAGGGCACATCCTCTGTCTACTAGAATAATCAAATAAGTCCCTCTGCCATGGGGATCTGTTGCTCTGGGCACCACTGAGACAGCCATCAGAAACAACAGCCTCTACCCAAAATCAGTGTTGGGCTGGGATACAGCATTGTCAGCTACACAAAACCCCCCTCATCAAGCTGTTGGCGCCTGGTGGCTGCTTAATTATTCATCCCTGCTGAACATGCAGGCCCAGGGCTTCAGCCATGGTTTTTGGAGCTCAACCATGGGGGAGCCTCGGTGATAAGCCCAGACCTGTTAAGAAGTTTGGAATGTATGTGTCTGCCCACAAATTGTTCCCTGGTCCTCCCACACCAGCCTCGTCAGGCATAGTGAAAGATGACAATGAGCCAGGAGGCTTCAGAGACAACAGGGCCCAGGCTGTGTTTGCAATGTTGGTAGCTAAAACTGCTCGGCCTGTTTTCCATTCCCATCTAGCCCAAGATCTTTCAGACTTTGAGCTAAGCAGAGTTTTAGGCATGTTGTGAGGGTTAGTGAGGGAAGGGGGTGGGGAGTCATTTCTTCAGGGGAGTGGTGGTGGTGGTGGGCAGTGACTCAAAGAGGCCAATGAACGTAGAGAGAAGAGCTTCTTTTGCAAGATGGACAGAGCCAAACGGACCTGGTTTCAATTGGCTCTGTCACTTTCCAGCTGTGTGTCCTTGGACAAGTCACTTGCCCTTTCTGATCAAAGGCCTCAAATATAAAATGGAGATTCATTCATTGTGTAAATGTATATTGGGCCCCTGCTATGTCCCAGGCACTGCGGATACAGCAGTGAAAAGAACAGCCAAGTCCTGTTCTCACGGGGGCTTGTGTAAAGAGTTAATGTATCTAAAGTACTGTGTCCCACATATAAGTACTCGATTCATGGTCATTATGACTTTTGTTATTGTCAGAGGATTTAAGTTTTACACATACAATTATTTGCTGTTACCCACCTATATGATTATTATTACCATGGCAGAAAACGCCCCCTCTACCCACCCCACACATATATACACACATACGCAACTCACACCTAAGCCATTATGAAAGAATTCATTTCCTCCTCTAAAGTTGTCTTTGGCATTCATTTTTCCTGGTCTGGGAGTTTTTAATTTCATTCATTTCCCCTTAGTCCTAACCCATCGTAGCTTGTCCTAACCTAACCCAGTATATAGCAGAGACCAATAAATGTTTTCTTCATTCCTTCCTTCGTTCATTCATTTACTTGACAAACATTTATTACTTCCTCCAACATGCCAGGCCCCGCTCCGCGAGCTGGGGAAGCAGCTGTGACCCAAACAGACAATGTCAGGCGATGTCTCTGCTCTCATGGGGTTGACATTCCAGCAAGGAAGACAGACAACAGGAAGGCAGACAGACAGATGACAGATAGACAGAAAATATACCACACTCACAGGCAGCGCAGATGCTGGAAGAGAAAAGCAGAGGCTTCAAGGTGGGGGAGGCAGGACGAGGCCATTCCAGACTGGCTGGGCGGAGAGTCCCTGCTGAGGAGGTGACGTATAAGACTGGGTGGGACGGAGAAGGGAGTCCTGTGAACATCTAGGGGAAGAAAGCTCCAGGCAGAAAACACAGAGTGCAAAGGTACGAGGAAGGAAGAAGCTTGGTAGGGTAAAGGAACCCATGGGGCAGCCTGTCCCAGGTTCCCAACTTGTCACCTTGGGCAGTCAGGCGAAAGCACAAAAATAGGCTCCAGTGATGGCTGGCACCTCCTTAGGCTCACTTAGATTCCTACAGTAGGGATCCAATGCGTGACTGCAGCCTCCAACCAGTCTCTGAAGAATGGAGAGAACAGGGACCAGAGAGGGAAGGTGATTTCCCCGGGTCACACAGCCAGCAGTGGCTGGGCTGGACCCAGATCCCACATCTCTTAACTCTGGCCAGTGGTGCCTCCCCTAAACCACAGTTGTTGTCTTTCTGGAAGGCAGAATGAGGGGTCCAGAAAGATCCCAGGAGACACTCAGAGACACACAAGTTAGGAGACAGACTGGAGAGATAGGAACTCGAAACCTTCCCCACTCCCAGCCATGCTTGTCCTCACACTCAAAGAACCACAGGAACCAGACAGCAGCCTCCATCCTGGCTCTGCATCTGGGAACCATGGTTACGGCTGCTGCTTGATTGGCAGGGGGTCCAGACACATTCGAGCTACCCCTTGATTCCTAGAGGTTGTGTGAGAAGCAGGAGCAAGGGCCAGGAGAGAAGCTGGGGGTCACCAGCAGGCCCCAAATACCACCCTCTAACCTTTCCCTCCCAAGCCAATCATCCAGGCACCTCGCACTGCCACGAAATCCTTTTTAGAGCTCTGAATTAAAAATAAATTTGCAAGCACATAACCAGATGTTACATGGGGAAAAGATAAATAACTCAGCCTGTCAAGGAACTGCCTCATCTCAGTCAACCCTCTCTCTTTCACAAGGTTTTAATTTTTAATTTCACAGCGGTAACTATAGCAACCTGCAAAAATAATATATTCCAAAGCAAAACAACTTTCTTGGCTCTGGCTTGGCATCTCCATGTTCCCTCCTTCCCTCCTCTCCACCAACTTCACGCAGGTCTGTGCCCAGAGTTGATGAACGCTCTCAGCTTTGAATGCCCTCATTCATTAAGTAATTAATTCATTCATACACAAGTATCTCTTGCCATCCAAATCCATAGAACTCCTAAATTCAGGTAGCGGGTATTGGACAATGGACTCAGAATCATGTGGGATGCCATGTTGTCTTAACCTATTTTGTTTCTAGGTTTTGAGTACATAGGAAAATTTGGATAGCAAGGGACATCTGTATTCATTGGGGACCTAATTTGTCCCAGAGTCAGTGCTAGGCAGGCCCTGGGGTGAGAGAGAATAGGACTGATCCTGCCCTTAAGGAGCTCACAGTCCTGTTGGGGAGACAGAATACAAACACATAATTACAATAAAGTAATATAAGTATTGTATACAAGGGAAAAATAATATACAAATGGGGCACAAAAGAAGGGAGAGGCTGTCAATATCTAGGATGATCTAGGTAGGCTTCACAGAGAAGGTGACTTCTGAGATGGGTCTTGCTGGATGAGTAGAAGTTTTCTGAATGACCAGCATAGGGAAGGGCACATCAGGCAGGTGGAACAGCACGTGCAAAGGCAGAAACAGATGACATAGGTCAGTATGGCCTAAGCATAGGATGAGTCATACTTCAAAAAGATACTGGAGAGGTTGACAAGGGAGAAACATACAGAGCCTTGAATGCTGGGCTGACTTCAGCTTGGAGGCCAGGGGAAATCAGCCACATAGGGAGTAGGGCAAAACATAAAAGGCCACTCTGAGGACAAGTGTGGCCAATGGATTAGAGGGCAAAGAATGCAGACGAAGCCTGTGGGGGAATTCAGGTGGGTGGTGGCTGCAGGGAAGAAAAGAGTGAAAAAGTGTCGGTTTGGGTTCCCTAAGAAGCAAACCTTGAGCCAAGGATCCAATCTTATTTGAGATGTGACCCCAGGAAGCACTGATATGGGGAGGAGGGAGAGGGAAGTGAGACAGGGAAGGGAAGAAGGCTCATAAAGTGTTTATTAGAAAGCCAGTTAGCACCGTGGGCCACGGGAGCTCAGTCCTCCTGGGAGTTCTGCGAGACGGCACCGAGAGTGCCTCAGAGTTGCCCACTTCAAGGGTAGGAGGCTGGAGGATCTCAATGCCAATTCCTAGAGTAATTGGTTGGAGGCTACTCCCAGGAGGCATCAATTCCTGGTGAGCAGGGTCCAGTGCCAGATAAACCCTCAAGCAGAGACTCATGTGCCAGCAGCCAGACACAGGGCCCATGTGTCCTGAAACAGAAAAGAAATGCCAAGGGGACTCAGGTGGGGCATTAAGAGCATCTGCCCCTGTGGAATTCTGAAAGATAGTCAGTGGGCATACTGGGAGACTCCAACATCTGGCAGAGAGGCAGACGCACTGACACACACAGCTGGGACAGGTGGGTCATGGGCAACAGGGCCCAAGTGAGGACAGACCCATCACCATCCTGTGCCCAGGCTGCTTAAGGGTCCCAGTGGGATGCTGTGGCTCCTGCTGCAAGGAGGCTGAGGGAGGAGGATCACTTAAGGCCAGGAGTTTGAGGTTGCAGTAAGCTAAGATCCCACCACTGCACTCCAGCCTGGGTGACAGAGCAAAACCTTGTCTTAAGAAAAATTAAGAAAAAAAAAAAGAATCCCAATGGGGCTCAAAGGCTGGGTGACAGTCCTCAGCACATCCCCCTCTCATAATGGGATAGACCTTCTTTCCAAATAAAGAGTCCTCTCTCAAGTAAACAGAGCTTCCCTCTATCCCTGATTAAAACTGGAAAGTGGCAAGAAGAAAATGTGTCAAGTAGGAAGATGCACATACAGGATGTGTTCATGCAGGGATATAACATTGATGGTGACCTTGTGTGAGCTACTTCACCTCCCCTGGCCTCAGTTTCCTCTTCTACAAGGTATGGTTCATAGAGGTGCCCATTGCATTATCTTGTAAGAATGTAATTCGATGATGCATGGTGATGCCTAGAAGTCACCTAATCAATATTACCTGTGAATATCGTTCTTTTCTGCAATATTGTTTTTTAGCATGGTCCACATGGGAGGCCCTGGGGAGACAGCAATCATCAAGCAGACTTGGTTCCTGCCCTCGTGCTGCCTCCAGCCTTGTGGACATGCTGAAATGCTTTATATAGAATGTTAAAGAGAGCCAGATAAAAAATTATGCATAGAGCAAGATTCTAATTTTGTTTAAACACACACACTCACAAAGGCCCAAGGGATATACACCAACATGTAATGATAGTTAACACCAGATGATGGAATTGAAGGTGGCTTGCAGTTTTACAATTCTTTCCTGGCTTTTTTTTCCTTTTAAAATTTTCACAGTGGATTGTATTATTCGAATAGTCATTTTTGAAAAAATAAAGGAAAACAAGAATGCTTCTTTCTCTGACTCTCTGCCCATCACAAATTTCATCTGTTTCCTCGGGAACCAGGAGCTCCTGGCATTAGGGGCTGTTTGCTTGTACATTCCAGGGTCTACCCACCAGGCAGCCAGGTCTCAGGTCCTGGCCTCATTCCCTACTGTGGTGCACATTTGAAAAGGGGCTGGGGGTTGGGGTGGCCTCCATCAGAGCAACAAACCTGGACTGAATGATTGGTGAGTATGAAGAGGGGAGCCCTCTCTCAACCTGGGATCAGCTACCTGTGAAGACATGTTCTGTCCCAGGAGTCAGAGGGGAGAGGTCTGTGTTTATCCATCTACCTGTGATTGCAAAGGTAAGGCTGTCCAACTCTGAGGATCAGTGTTAGCAGTTCCATTTGCCTGCATGCCCAAGCCACGTTCTCTAAACAGCTTTATCTGTAATAAGCTGACATTTTGTTCCTCACCTCTTGACTCCTCGGTCTCCTACTGCTTCTGAACTTAAGTGAGGAAGAAAGCAACATTATATGTAGATGCCATAAAAATCACATAGTCCATACCTGGCTCCTAGAAATTGGCTATTAACAAAGAGATTAGACACCTATTTTTCTCAAGTTTCCTCTTTTTTCCTTTTGACACCTTGCTTTTCTCTTTTCCTTTTGACACCTAGGACTGTGAGATAGACCCAATGTTCTTGGAAAGATCTAGTAATCTCTCCTGTAGCGAACTTGACGGTATTGTCTGTCTGAGTCCCTTTTTCGGAAAATGGTCCCTCCTCCACACCATGTAAACTTGGGGTTTCCATCAAGATCACCAAAACAAGAGTGGTCATGGGTCCCATTCAGGACCAAAGTGATTTTCTGGGATGAGTATGTGGCATAGATATGGATACATAATATATGTAGGTATATGACATGTATATGATAGATATATATACATGGATGTATGATGTGTATAGAGGATATATGACATATATATGATATATATAGGATATACAATATATGACATATGTGATATGTACATGGATATATGATATATAGAGAGGATACATGATATATGACATACATATTATAGATGTACACAGATAAATGATACATATGCCTCGCTCCTGCCAGCCTTGCTGGGCTTGTTGCATACATGTTTGGGTGTACCTGCTGGTGGCCTGCTTCCCTACCACACATTGACAGCCTGCCTGGAGGCTAAAGCCAACCAGAAAAGATGACCCTGTTGAGTTCCTGTATCCAGCCATTCCTGAAACCACCTTCCTAGACCAGAACCAATACATTCCCTCTTTTCCTTAAGTAGTTTGAGTTGGGTTTTTATCAGTTGAAGCTAAAAGAATCCTGACTAGCATACTGCAGTGAATATATACCGGTTAGAAGGCTGTGACCACCCAGAATCCATGCCCCCTTCCTAAGTAACCCTCATTGTTTAGGAAAATCACCTCTCCTCCATTGAATTCACCTGGGGGAACTGCTGGGCATGACACTGCTCCTTCCTTCACTCCTAGGTCACTACCTACACCCCCACACAAGACCAGGTGAATTGGCCATGAATCCCTTCCAGGCCTGCCCATAAAACCTCCCCCATGCTCCTCCACACCCTGTCTTTTCCTCTCCTCTGCCGGGGGATGCAGAAGATCAAAAAAGAAATCAAGATCCCCTCCCCTGGATGGAAGGACCTGGGTCTCTGAGTGACCATGAGGAGTTGACCTACACTGGACTGTGACCTGAGTGACAAGTAAACAGATTATGAGTCACTGAGATTTGGGGGTTGTCTGTAACAGCAGTTATCCTGCCCTAACTAACACAATAGGCTGGCACATTGGAGAGCTACCTGAGAGCCATTATCCTAAGAGCTTTCCATTCAACCACGAATATTTACTGAGTCCCTATTCTGTGCTTGCAAAGCCCCCTGTGTTTCCTGTTCTCCTGCACTGCCCACGATTGCCTCTCTCCTCGTCTGGCTGTCTTCTCTCTCTAGACGGTAAGTTCCCCAAGAGATGGGTCCTTATCTGTCTTCATCCTCTGCACCGTGTCCCTGGTATCTAGTTTAGCATCAGGAACATAGCAAGTGCTCCGTATTGATTGATTGGATTTGCAAAATGACCAGATGCATAAAGTTGTCATGAGGCTTAAGCGAGGTTCTGATTGTGAAGCGTCATGGCACACAGGAGGTCCCCTGCAAATACAGTAAAAATGAGCTAAATCAAGGTGCATGTGGGCTGGGCAAGGCTTTCAGTGGGAGGGCAGATTTTAGCCAGGACTTATCCTGCCCTATACCCTACAGAGAGCTAAGTTATCTCTGGTCCTGGCTGGTCCCAGGCTCTATGCAGGAGGAAGGATGGGGACCAGCTGCTTCCTGGAGGGAGCCCCAGTCCCAGAGGCTTTGAGCTGTGGTAGGGGTGAGGCAACACTTCAGGAAATAACATTTCAAAGGCTTTGGCTGTGAGAGCAGACTTCTCACCCCTGTCTTGTGTGGAGGTGGGTGTGGGATGCCTGGTGTGCCTCTGGGGTAAAGCATCCCTTTCACGGTTTGAAATCTCATCTCGGGAAAGCTTAACTCCTTGTACCCCATTCTACTGGCTATAGACAGGCTCCAGGGATTTAGCCCAAGACTCCTAGGATAATGTCCAAACTCCATACCTGGGGTAGGAATGGGGGCAGGTGCAGCATGTCCAGCATGATGCAGCAGTTAACAGCCTGGGCTCTGGAGGCAGAATGCCTGGGTTCAAATCCTGGCTCAGTTCACATGGTAGCTGTGAGACTTTGGATGACTCAGCTTATCTGGACCTCAGTTTTCTCATCTGTAAAATGGGATTATAATAGTAACACACTAGAAGATTGTTAGGAAGATGACCTCGCTTTGACAACTAATGGAGTGTTCTTTTCTTTTCTTTTCTTTTCTTTCTTTCTTTCTCTTTCTTTCTTTCTTTCTTTCTTTCTCTTTCTTTCTTTCTTTCTTTCTTTCTTTCTTTCTTTCTTTCCTCCTTTCCTTTCCTTCCTTTCCTTTCTTTCTTCTTCTTTTTTCTTTTTTATTTCAGATCTCACTCTGTGCCCAGGCTGAAGTGCAGTGGTGTGATATCAGCTCACTGCAACCTCTGCCTCCCAGATTCAAGCAGTTCTCCTGCCTCATCCTCCCAAGTAGCTGGGACTACCAGTGCGCACCACCACACCCAGCTAGTTTTTGTATTTTTTTTAGTAGAGATGGGGTTTCACCATGTTGGCCAGGCTGGTCTCGAACTCCTGACCTCAAGTGATCTGCCTGCCTCAGCCTTCTGAAGTGATGGGATTATAGGCATGAGTCACCACACCTGGCCAAGTGTGTTTCTTAAATGTTTTAATTCCTAACATGGTAACTATCAATAGATAAACTGACATAAACAAAATTCTTTGGGGTCCACAGTAATTTTTAAGAGTATAAAGGGGTCCTAAAACCAAAACATTAAAATCCAGTCTCATGTGATAACTTCACACTACACATGCCAGATGATTCACCTGGCGTCAATTCTTCACTTCCTCCTCTCCTCCCCCGACCGGCCATGACCTAGTTTGGACCCTGTGCTCTGTCCAAATGAGCAACTGAGGCACCTACCCAAGGAGGCCATGAGGATTCCTCCCTCCACACCCCTGAACAGCAGCTGTCTACCCTGAATTCTGTGGTTTCACTATCCTTAACGAAATTGTACTTACTCTGCAAGGCCCAGGGGCTTCTGCCTCCTGCAGGAAGCCTGGCTGACTGCCCTAAATGGAGCCCTTGGTCCTCTGAGCTCACACAGCACTGCCCAGTCATGAGGGCAGATGGCCAAGGCAGCTTCATCAGTTTTGCTTGTGAAAGCCCATCTTCTCACTAGACTGCACGCTGCCTCTGGCTTTGGGGTCAGAACAGAGCTGAACTGGGTCATGTTGGGCAAGTCGCTGTCCCTCTCTGAGCCTGTTTCCTTATCTGCAGAATGGGGTAATTATGAGACTTACTGTGCAGATCTTGTAAGGACTGGATGAGCAAATGCACTGGATTAATTTGCTAGCGCTGCCATAACGAAGTATCACACTCGACCAGCCGCTGTGGCTCATGACTGTAATCCCAGCACTTTGGGAGACTGAGGCGGGTAGATCACTTGAGGTCAGGAATTCAAGACTAGCCTGGCCAACATGGTGAAATCTCCTCTCTACTAAAAATACAAAAATTAGCAGGGCATGGTGGCGGGTGCCTGTAATCCCAGCTACTTGGGAGGTTGAGGCAGAAGAATGGCTTGAACCCAAGAGGTGGAGGTTGCAGTGAGCCAAGATCATGCCACTGCACTCCAGCCTGGGAGACAGAGTGAGACTCCAACTCAAAACACAAACAAAAACAAACAAACAAAAAACGAAGTGTCACAATTGGCTGTGATACTGGTGCTTCAAAAGAAACCAACCCTGCTGACCCCTTGATCATGAACTTCTAGCCCCCAGAATTGTGAGACAATAAATTTCTGTTGTTTTGTGCCATGATGCTTCACAATTAAAACCTCACTTAAGCATCACAATGACTTTGTACATCTGGTCATTTTGCAAATCCAATCAATCAATACTTATTGAGCACTTGCTGTGTTTCTGACACTACACTAGATACTGGAGACACAGTATAGAAGACAGACAAGCACCCGTCTCCCAGGGAACTTATGGTCTAGAGAGAGAAGATAGGGCAGGGCCTTGGGGGTCACTCTAAGGACTTTCGCTTTTCCTCTGCACACAATGCGGAGCCACAGGATATTCTGGTGCTTCAACAACAGAAGTTTATTGTCTCACAATTCTGGGGGCTAGAAGTCCAAGATCAAGGTGTTGGCAGGGCTGGTTTCTTCTGAGGCCTCTCTCCTCGGCTTGTAGATGGCTGTTTCTTTCTGTGTCTTTACCTGGTCTTCCCTCTGTGTGTGTCTGCATCCTAATCTCCTCTTCTTATAAAGTTGTCCTTATAAAGGACACCAGTCATACTGAATTAAGATCCACCCTCAATGACCTCATGTAATTAATTACCTTTTTAAAGACCCAATCTCCAAATACAGTCACATGCTAAGGTGTTGGGGGTTGGGGCTTCAACATATGAATTTGGTGCGGGTGGGAGAAGACATAATTCAACTTATATGGCATCTAAAACATTCTGCCTAGGGCTGTCAGGTGTAAGTAAGCTGTGCTTCTCTCTCCACTGCCACCAGAGCCTGGGGCTGCGGTCAGTGGCTTGGGCTGGGCCTTTAGAGCCTGAATAAATCGGTCATCAGATATGAGCTGCCCAGGGAGGGGACATGACCTCAGGCAAGACTGCTCTCCTTAACTGGGCAATCTCCAACAGGGACTTTGCTGCACCACCAATAGCTGGGCAGTAAGTCCTTCTTTCCTGAGGAGAGCTGGGCACCCACCCTGCCCCTTTACTCGCTACATGACCATGGGTAAGCTCCTTGCTTTCTCTGAGCCTCAACTTCCAAAACTGGAAAAAAAATAAAATGACTTGCAGAGGGATGATGATGAGATGGGGTCATTGCTGGTATTTTTATTTAGGCAACAATTTATTTTATTGAGCACCTAGTATGTGCCAGGCATTGTTCTAGGCTCTGGGGATATAGCAGTGAATAACATGGACAAAATCTCAGTTAAAGCTGACGTCATTACAGGGACTGCCAGGCACTAAACAAATAAGCAAGTAAAATACATAGCATGTCAGATGCTGATAAGTGCTGTGAAAAAGTAGCAATTAAACCAAGAAAGGGGAAGCGAGAGTGTGAGAGGCAGGGGTGCGGAAAGGGGGATGTCACAATTTTAAATAAGATGGTCAGGGAAGGCCTGTCTATGAAAAGATTTGGCAAGGTAAGGGGGCCCTCTAGATATCTCCGAGCAGAGCTTTGCAGGCAGAAGGGCCGTGAGCATCCCTGACGTGGTTCCTGAATGCACGGCCTGAGCTCAGTGAGCAAAGGGGACCTAGACTGGACATGAGGTCAGAGGAGTGGCCGGGGTCAGCCAGGGCAGGGCCTGGCAGGCCACTGTCAGAACTTCGGCTTTTCCTCCACATGCAACGTGGAGCCACAGGAGTCTTCTGAGTGCAGGAGGGGGCGTGACCTCACTTTGATTTTACTAACACAGGGTAACCCAGGTGACAAGCTGAGATTGCAGCCGGCTCCCCTGCTCCCACCTTCCAGCCCCGCTGGGCCCCACCTAGTAAGCCCTGCCCAAGCCGCCACCCCCTCTCCACACACACACACACACGCGCTCCATCAGTCCCACGCCTGCTTGTCCGTCAAGTCTCAGTCTAGCCCTCACCTCCTCCTTTGGGAAGCCAGCCCAGAGCCCCTGACCTGCCTCATCCCTCCCTCCCCAGAGAACCAGGAGGCAGTTAGGGGACAGGCCTTGGCAATCAAGCGCCAGATTCAAATCCTCCCTACTTAGAATCTCTGAACCTCAGTTTTCTTCATCTGTAAAATGGAGATAATAATAACAGACCATTAAAAACCCACCCTCAGGTAGTAAGTGAAATCCGAAGGTTCAATTGTATAAACTACACCACAGTACCATCACAGGGTCAATGAACAGCAGCATTATCAGCTGCTCTGTGTTGTCCTGAGAGCAAAGACATAAAGCTCACACCGCCCACCACTACCTGAGAAAGGTCCAATGGTCACAGGGCTTGTTTCCTAACCTCCCCCCAACCCCAGTCAACCCAAGACCACCCACACTTGAGAACAGGGGCTGGACCAAGGCTGGCTGCTCATCACCACCCAAGCTATGTTCACCACGTGACCACAGGGCTGTGGCATGGAGTGATGAGACATCCTTGGGTGTGTGCCTGGCACATTGCATGAGTGTCACCTGCTGCTGCTGCTGCACCCATCACGCCATGTAGGAGGATCTCCTTCCTCTTACGCTGCCTCCAGCCTATGAGAGGATGTAGGTAATGACTATGCTCACAAATATCACAAATGCTCGGTATACAGCAGGGGCTCAATAAATGCTTGTTAGAGGCAACCAGAGCACAGCCAGATGTGTGCGTGTGTATGTGCTGACTGTACCATTTTCCAGATGTGTGTCCCACAGCCCATCACTTTGCCTCTCTGAGCCTCTGTTACCTCATCTGTAAAATGGGAGGACTCATTCTTGCCTGGAAGGGTGAGTGGGGCATCCCCAGGGCTCCTGCGCCCCAGTCACAGGGTGAAGGTATGGCACCAATGTACCCAGAGGATATCTGGCAGGTGCACAGTAGACATAATAGTCCACATAATAGTGACAACCAGAGCCACCGTAGCATCTGGCAGAGCAGACTTGGGAGTGAGCTCTTGTGAGTCACAGGTTGGGGCTTCCCTGTGTAACCTGGTGAGGCTCACAGGAGTCCAATGGCTTAGAGTGGCAGATAGGGCCATGAGTCGGGCCATTGTCTCTGTGTCATCAATGATTCTGTGTTTGGTAGGTTTGCTCTAGACTCAGAGAAGAGCAAGACTCACTGGGAGCCTCTTCCCCTCTGCTAAGTTTTGAATGTATCCCCCAGAGTTCACATATTGGACATGTAATCCCCAGTGCAAGAGTGGTGACATGTAGGACCTTTAAGGAATGATTAATGCCATTATCATGGGAGTGGGTTGGTTATCGTGGGATTGGGTTCTTGGTAAAAGGATGAGCTCAGCACCCTTCCCTCTTGTTCTCTCTTGCACAATCTCTTACCCTTTTGCCTTCCACTATGGGATGATGCAGCCCAAGGGCCCTCTCCAGATGCCAGCTCCATGCTCTTGGACTTCCCAGTCTCTAGAATCATAGCCAGATAAATTTCTATTCATTATAAATTACCCAGTCTGCAGCATCCTGTTATAGCAGCATAACATGGACTAAGACACCATCCTTTGCCCCAGTTCAGGGCAAAGAGGCCTCAAGAAACCCACCATTTGTGAGAAACTTTTATGTGCTTCCTGGACTTTCTAGGTATTTACTGACAGCTAACTGTTACGGAGCACTTCTAGCACTAGGTACTGCTCTGCGCTCTTGTACCGTCTCAGACAAGGCCCCACAGGAACTCCTTGACACAGGTATTGTTATCACCATTTTGCAGGTGAGGCAACTGAGGCACAGAAAGCTTCCCAGAGTCACACAGGTAGGGCGATGGAGAAAAATTTGGAGTCTAAGTCTGAGTCCCTGAGCTTTCTGCTTAGGAGGCAGCCTAGCCTGGTGGTTAAAGCTGTGACCCCTTCCAAAGCCAGGCCACCAGGGGTCAAAGCTAGGCTCTTCCCCTTTGTTCTCCTTGCCTCAGTTTCCTTATCCAGAAAATGGGAGCAATAGGACCTACCTCATCAGACTGCTGTGAGGATTAAGTGAGGGCTGTGTTTACAGTGATAGGCAATCCATAATCCATAAAAGTACACGCTGGTCCTACCAGATTCCTCCTTCTCTTAGCTCAGAGGACTTCTCCCAATGTGTCTCTCTGTCAGTCTTATTTCTCTCTCTTGCTCTTTGCCATCTCTTCTGAGGCATATAAGCTTCTCTTTGTCACTTTCCTCTCTATCTTGGTCCCTTCTGGGTCCTAAATCCTGGCTCTGAGTTTATGTGCTGCATAAACTTCAGCATAGCACAGGGCAACCCTCCTGACTGTGGATACTCTCAAACTTCATAGAAATTTCTCCTGGGGAACTGGCTAAATGCAGAGTCCTGGTTCCACCGGAGAGAATCAGATTCTATAGGTCCAGGATGGGGTGAGAGAATCTGCATTTTAACCACTGTCCTCTCCAAAACCTTTCACCCTGTGACCTCCCAGGCTGGCTCTTGAACTATACTTTGAGAAGCACTGCATTTGCCCTCAGTTTCCTCATCTGTCAATTTGGAGTAAACAGAAACTACCTCCCAAGGTTGTAAAGATGAAATGAAATAATTTGTCTGGAAAGCAAACACCTTTTCTCTGTCTTGGCTTTTGTAAAATTTATTTTGTCTCTGACTTTCCCATTCTCTGTTTCTGGTGTTTTTCCTATTTCATTCTCTGTCCTCTCTCTCCCTACCCTCTACCTGGAAGTGGACCCAACTCCAGAGCTGAAATGGAAAACACTGAACAGGTGTGGCCCTTCTGTAAAGGCTGGAGGCCCCAAGATCATCCAAATGGCCTGTCCAGCTCCTTCCTACTGGCACCCCAGCAGTCCCCAAGACCAAGCATCCCCACCCCTGCAGCCCCCACAGCAGCAAAGCTGGGGAAAGATGGGGATCCATTGTGCAGGAACGGCCTTGCTGCTATGGAAACCAGCACTCAGAAAATGCTCAGAGATGATCCATTCTGGGGAGCGGCCTGGCCTTGGGGGAGGGGGAAAGGCCAAACTCTGCACCTTGGACTTTGCCCTCCCATTACCGGCCATGTGATGCTGGGCAAGTCACTTAACCTCTCTGAACCCTCCTCTCCCTCACCGGGCCCCGAGCAGCAGCCTCCATTATCGGTGGGTGATAACCGCCGCTGATGACTGAACACTGCTCTGCGGCTTTCAAGCCTGAAGACACGCCAAATTGCCATTTGCTTTCATTACTGCGAGCTTGAAATATTCTAGTGCCAGCTTGCTGCATGACCCTGTGCCTCCGAGGGCCACCAAACTATTTCCATGATAGAATTCCCTCTCGCAGAGGTGCAGAGTCCACTCTGAGTCACTCTACAACACACACACACACACACACCACACAAGCACACACACACCGCACACACAGACACTAGCTACTGAGCTAAGTTGCCCATACACTTGCCTCACCCCGGTTGCGCTGCGATTCCTCTTCTAGGAAGGGAAGAAGTGAGCACAATGTCTCCTGATTACTCCATCAGCAGCGCCCAATGCTCTGCAGCTGCAGAACTTATCTCATGGTGCATTTTCCTTCCTCAATGTCTCCCAGGGCACCTCCCCTCCAAGATCCCTCCCACGGTTCCCCATGCCTCCAGGCCTAAGTCTAAGCTCAACAGCCTGACCTTCGAGGCCCTCAGAGCCAACTGCGCCCTTGCTCCACAATGTCACCCCTCTATTTGCGACAGCAGTCCCTGTGAAGGCAGGGATTCTGTTTGCCATTGTAGCTGATGGAACCCCAGTGCCTGGTACATCCTGAGGCCAGGGGAGCAGAGGATAAGGGCATGCATGAGAGGGTGGCTACCACGTGCCACCCACCCCAGGGACATCAAGTAAGACCCTTACCCTCCTTGTGCCTCAGCTTCTCACTCTTCACAACACACAGTAACACACCACACACATATACACTCTGAAACTCACACACACACAGCAACATAAACACACATCCCACACTCCCCCATACACAGACACGCACACCATGGTGTACGAAGAGCATCGGACCCCCTGGCCATCTGGCCGTCCCCTGAACAAGCTGTGCACTTTCCTCCCTCCTTACCTTTGCTCATGCAGTTTCTTCTTCCAAAAACCCACTTCCAACAAGTTCTTCCAGAGCTCTCAGGGATCCTCTGCACGCAACTCCTCCTCAGTAATCAATGTAATTTCTCAGAGAACACGATGACTTGCCCAAGATCACACAAGAAGTGTGTGGCCGCAGAGCCTGTGTCAGAACCCAGGCCTTGGGGTGGGGGGACACTGAGTCCAGCTGCTCTGAAGAGCATCCGAGCATTTATTCAGCCAGCCAGGCGCCTGTTTGTTTGTTTTCCCAACACACACTTATTACGCCCCAGGCAGGCTGCTCAGTGCTGGGGACCCAGCCATGAACAAGGCCAGCACACGCAGCCCAGAGAAGCAGACAGATGCTAAACAAGTAATTACAAGTGTGATGGATGCCACAAAGGAAAAGCAGCAAGGGCCCTGGGAAGAGACAGTGGGGGATGCCAACATCTCCCATTTGTACAAGGTTTGCAGAAACCTTACCGCAGTGGTGGTCCTGCAGCACCTCCCATCAGAATCCCGTTTAAAGCCCCCAGGCATGCAGACCCAGCACTTCTGGGGAGGGCTGTTTCTTCCCAGGGAAGGACACTGTGAGGTTTGAGGACCACAGCTTTAGAGGCCTGGGTGAGGGGGTCTGAAGGTGGTAAATGTTTTCTAAGTATCCACCAGATCTCGGGCTGATTCACTCCTGCCAGGCCACTGAGGTAGGCAGCATTAGGCCCATTTTACAGAGAAGCAAACCAAGGCCTAGAAAACCCCAGTGATTAGTGAGTATAGAAGAGGGATTCGAACCCAGGCCTGTCAGACTCCAGATCTCAGGAAGGTCCTTAAAGATGGCCCGGCTCCTGGGTGCCCAGCACACAACCTTGCCAAATGGGCTTACAGTTAAAAGGGAAACCACTAGCACTCAGAGACCCCAGGTCACGGATTACAAGGTGCCACTTGTGCTTTACAACAGAGCATGTTAGTCACATGGTGCTAAGTGGCTCTGACATCACAGTGGGCATCCAGCCAGGTACCTCCACTGACCAGGTGCATGGCCTCGGGCAAGTTGCTTAACCTCTCTGGGCTCAGTTTCCTGTCTGTAAGATGGGACAATGGTGGTGGGGAGGAGTTTCTCTGCTTAGGCCTCCTTGCCTCCCCTCCCCCTCTCCCTCCGTCTGCTCCAGTCACACCCGCCTCCCAGCCTTTCTCAAACATGTCAGGCCCTGTCCCTGCTCAGCAGCTTTGCACATGCTGTTCCTTCTGCCTGAACACTCTTCCTCCACATAGCTACATATCTCCGCTCATATGTCACCTTTTCAGAGAGACCTTCCCCGACCCCTTGGCAGAAATCACCCCCACACCACCCCTGTGTGTCCACCACCCTGTATCCAGCCCCGTGTCCATCCCCCGTGTCCATCCCCGTGTCCATCCCCCCGTGTCCATCCCCCTGTGTCCATCCCCTGTATCCATCCCCTGTGTCCATCCCCTGTATCCACCCCCCTGTATCCACCCCCCTGTATCCATCCCCCCTGTGTCCATCCCCCTGTGTCCATCCCCGTGTCCATCCCCCCTGTATCCATCCCCCTGTATCCATCCCCACTTTATTTTTCTCCCCCGCACTGTCACAGCTTTGACCCCCACCTCCCCACGTGAGAAAGTAAGTTGCAGGAGGGTAGAGGCTTTGTTTTGTCAGTTGTTTCCCCAGCCAAGGCTCTTGACTAGGGCCAACCAGAGTTAACAAGCATGCAAGGGCTCAATCTAGCCAGGGCTTCTGCATTACCATGGCCTGTGAGGCCCCTGGCAGCCCATTGGAGAGGTCTCTAAGGCATCTGGGAGGCTGGTTCTAAGTATCCCGCCCCTAGCCTGGTACACAGCGGGCATCATCAGAACATGTCTGAGGCTGTGCTGACCTGCTGTCTGAGAGCAGACACTGCCCGGGCTTCCTGGACCACAGCAAAGACGCTGAAGAGAGGGGCAATGAATTCCCCTGGGCCCCCTCCCCAAATGGCCCTGAAACTAGCAGGCAGTGGGAAACCAGCCCCAGGCTTGGCAGGGGCCTGGCAGAGGCTCAGTGCCGAGGGCCAAGGGCCTGCCAACCTCACTCCCCCAAACAGCGACCAATTGTCCCAGCGGCGCCCAAGTTCCCTGAAGACCTCCCAGCAGTCACTCTCTCACAGAGACACCCGCTCTCAAAGGGGCCAGCAGTCTGGCTGCTTCCGGCCACGACCACAACCAAGGAGGCTGGACCAGCATGGTGGTCCCAGCTTCACAGGAGGCCCCGGGACTTCCGAGCCCTGCTGGGAACTTGCAGCCGGGTGCTTGGTGAGGAGCGGGTGAGGACAGATCCCGGGGGTGGGCCAGTCCTCTTGGCATTTGTATGCAGGTGCAGACCCATGAACATGAGCTGGAATCTATCAACAGAAAATAAAACACTCAGGGACAGAAGCCTCAGAAGACAAACTGCTGCGGGGCGAAGGTGGCAGCCACTCCTGCTTGCTGGGTGTGCAACATGTCTCAGGCCCACTCTGGATAGGCATTCATCCAACCCTCAGACAGGGAGATGGGAACTGTGGAACCTCTGTGTCTCAGAAAAGGAAATGAGGGAAGCCATTTGCCCAGAAGAGGGAAGCCGGGATTTGAACCCAGGTCTCCTGGCAAGGCCTTGACCACTATGCTACATCCTAAACCTCCCTTGATGGCGATGAGGAGGGGCTGGTCACCAGGAGTCACGTTCCCATGACAAAGTCTCATTGGTGCCCCCCAGAGCAATGGGTCTGAGCCCTGCTGCAAACCACCTGTGTCAGAATGGGATGCAGGCAGCTTCCTAGAAAGCCCATTCAGACCTGCTGTGGCTACATTTTTCACATGATGCTACTGGATTCTGAAGCGCACACTGGAGTTTAAGAACCACTGGCTTAGAGGCAATTCTGACCTAGACAGAACTAGCGCTTTATTTGTCAGGACGATAGACCTCGAGAAGAGCTGCCTATGTGGGATCTGGAGGTGACAATAAAAACGGCTGTTGATTGGTCACTGAGTATGTGCTCGGTCCTCTTTTAAGTGCTTCATTCTCATTTCATCCTTAGCACAACTCTACAGAAGAAGTAACAGTATTATCTTCCCCATTTTAGAGATGAGAAAACTGAGGCACAGGGAGCTTAAGTCTGTCCTGCCATCCTGTGAGATTCATGTAGTTGTTTGGAGGAGGTCCACCTTCCATCTGGGTGATCCCAGCACCTGCTAGGTGCCCTGTACATGCCTGCGTACATGCCCTGTACATGCCTGCAGCACTGAATATGAACTAGGCCAGGTGTGTTTTGGTGGTGCGGGGGTCCCAGGACAGAGCTTCCCAAGGGGCAAGCTTTGGGAACTCTCCTGACCCAACTGCACCCCCCTACACACATCCACCTTCCTGGGCATACAGTCCTACTTACCCTGGTGTGGCTGAGCAAGGTGCTACCCCCTTCGTCTTCTTTGTCTATAAGTAGAACTCCTACTATGGAGCTATTAGAGAAATCGGGTCTAAATGGAGCCACTCAGACAAAGCCCTTAGGAAGTGGATAGGAGAGGGGTCAAGTTTTAGGATGTGGGTGTGAAACCCACCTGGATCCACCACTTGAGCGCTACACAGACTTGCCTGAGCCTTTCATCCTCACATCTGCCTAGTGAGGATCAGAATTGTATGTAATCACGTGAAGGTGAAATATGCAAACTACCTGTGCACAGTGGGCCTCACTGTACGGTCGCCGGTGAAAAGTACTAAGATTGGTGCCACAACCCCATCAGCACAACACCCCTGACCCCTCCTTCCAGGGCTCGAGCTAGGGGGTTGTCAGTGCCTGGCTGGTGCTCAGGCCTCTTCAGCTGGAGCCTGGAGCTGAAGGCCTGTTTGCTGGGTTACAGGAAGATCTGAGCTGTACAGCTGGTGCTGGCGAGGAAAGGTATTTGCATCAGATAATAGGTAAAGTGTCTTGTTATTCCATTAACTTGTGTAGCAACGACTGCGGCAGAGGGAGGGAGCGTTGGAAAGCCGTAGGGTGGGCAGGGGATGAGCTCACTGACCCACAGCTAAGCCAGGGACTTCCAGGGGGCCCAGCAGCCTCAACAGGAGCTACAGGGGTAGCCTTTGGGCAGAGGGGTATGGGTGAGGCTGCCCCTCGTTCCAGAACCCTAACCTTAAGGTAGGGCCCCAGCTGGGGGCAAAATCGAAAAGTACATCCCAGGCACCACCAGCACCAGTGCCTCCCCCTCCCCCACCCCTAATTGACCTCTGAGTCCCTGGGGCTCAGGGGCTCTGACCATGACCACAGCATGCAGCCTCCTGAACAAAAGCATAGATGCTGGAGCCCCCTGGATGGGGGTTTGAATCCCGACTCCACCCTTCACAAGTTTGGTAAGTTGCACAGGCACCTAGCATTGCTGGGCTTCCTATTAAATGGGATACTACTATTACACTCATCCCTCGAGGCCATGTCATCCCTCCTCTGACAAATCCCATGGAGTCCCTGCCACGTGCTGGTGCCTTCTAGGCACTGGGAACCAGCAGGGAACAACAGGGACTAAGTCTTGTTCTGACGAAATTTGCATTCCAGGTGGGGGAGGGTGCACATAAATAAATAAGAGAAATATGAGAAAGTGATAAGTGCTATAAAACTTGGAAATGGGATAACAAGGGGCCAGATGTAAGGAGGAGCGGTCTTTTAGAGAATGAAGGAAGGATACTCTGGGGGGAGGCATTTGAACTAAGGCGCAGGTGACATCAACAGCCTTGAAGGGCCCCAGGTTGGCCTCAAGGGACACGTTTGAGGAGAGGAAGGAGGCCAGTGTGGCTGAAGCAGAGTGGGCAGCAAAGATGGACAACCTCAGGATGGAGAAGAGTGGGGACTGGCCACGTAGAGCAGCATGGCTGCAGGATTCATTTTGACTGGAAGCACCATGGCAGTCCCTGGAGGTTCAGAGCAGGGGAGGGATGTGATCTGATTTTGATGGTTCAAAGGCCTCCTGGCTGCTGGTAGGGGATGGATTGCAGAGGCCAGGGTGGTGCAGGGGAGCTGAAAAGAGGCTGGTACAGCCATGGGCATGACAGCAGCTGTGGTCTAAGAAGGTAGTGCAGGGGAATGTGGGACGAGACAGTGGACCAGGGCTGGGCTGGGTTTTAAAGATACTGTCACAGGATCTGAGGATGATGAGCAGGAGAGGGAAAGGGAAGGGACAAGGATGGCACAGGTGATTGAGACCATGTATGTTAGCAGAGGGTTTATTGAGCGTGGCCCCTTGCATACAGTAAGTGCTGGTAAACACTGCCCATTGGGAAAGCATAGTGTTCTACACTAAGCACCACCTTCTACAGGAACCAGCCCTGTTGATCAACAGAGCGGCATTTCTGGTCTCAGATTCCTGGATTGCACCAAATGACCTCTGAGGGGATAACAGAGGACTCCACGCAGGAAGGGTTCAGGCAGTCATGTTGCCCAACATGTGCGGTGACAGCATAAACACCAGGGTGACTTGTCCCAGGTCACTGGGCTTGTTAGGGGCAGAGTGGGATCTCTTGACCCTGTAAAATGTCCTCTGGGATCTAAAGTCTGAGATTCCCAGGTGTGAGTCCTTCTCTGGACCTCGGGCTTCGGTAGCAGAGTCCAGCCTCAGAGCCTTTGTGCTTGCTGTTCCCCTTCCTGGAGCCTCCCATGACCTTTGGATGTCACTTGGCCTCTCTGCGCCCTCTCACCCCAGCAGTTCTGCAGAGGTCAGCCTTTAGAACTGACCCACGCCTCCCTGGGCCTGCAGGGTTTCACAGAGCTCGGCAGCAGCTTGGGTTACCCCTAGGGTCAGGTCATCACCATTTGCCTCATCTCCTTCCACAGCCAACTTGGAAGGATTCCCCAGCCTTGTGCCAGGAGAGGCTGGCACGGCTGCCAGAGCCCCACTCCGTGGCGCCATAGGCCCTCACAGGGACTGCCCTGGCTCCTGGTGGCCAAACCACACAGGATAGAACCACCTTTCCTGCTGGGACACAGCCCAGGCGGAATCCCCCTTTCTTTCTCCTGGACCAATCAGATGTGAGTCAGGGACCCTCTCATTAACAAATTTCCTCCCTTCCTCCTCCCCTGTTATGAGGCCAGGAGCGGGCGTCGACCTACATGGAAGGGGAGGAGAGGTGGAACCAGTTGGAGCAAATACCCAACCTGCCTCTTGCCTGGTAAGGTCACCCAGAAGCCTTGAGCCAGCAGCCGTTCCTTCCTCCATCTCCAACGGTCTGGCCTTATGCTAGCCCCCAACTCAGGACACAGACTTTACACTTAACCCCAAAGCAGTCCCTGCCTCACTTGGGGCCAAGTTCAGACAAGAGGCAATCAGGGACTTAACTGGCTGCCAGAGAAGGCCACCCGCCTGGTTATTAAATATTAAGTGGCAAGAGCCTGAGAATGTATAATTGCAAATGAGACTCTGAGGCAGATGTTGCCAACAGCTTGGACCGGTGCATGCAGTTGGGACCAACAGGGGATTTCAAGTCACCAAGCCAGGCTGCTGGCAAGGGCCCCACATTTGCTGGGCACCTGCTGGGTACCAGGCCCTGAACTGGATGCTACGTGTAAAAAGATTAACCAGACACGACTCCAGCTTCAAGAGGTTCCCTGTCCGCTGAAGAAGTAAGCAAGGGCTCACAACCACAGGTAATCTCGGGCGTGGTGCGGGCCCCAGGGAAATATCTAGAAGGGGTTGGAGAATTGAGGCTTCAGAGTGGAAATGAGCTGACTTTGAACTGTACATTCAGTCAGTCATTTAACAAACATTGGTTCAATACCTAATGTGTGCCAAATGTTGTAGATTCAGGGAAATAAAGTATTAAATAAACCAAACTCTCTCATGGTGCTTACAATTGAGTGAGAGCTTGTATTCCAAGGATGAACAAGGTTTGCACCAAGAAGAAGAGATAAAGAAGAGAGCGAGCCTGTGCAAACATTCAGAGGCATGAAGTCAAGTAGCTTCAAGGTGAATAGGGAGTTCACTGCGGCTGGACATGTGTGAAAGGGAGGGAGTGAGGCAGGGAGCAAGGGAGGGAGGGAGGGAGGGATGGGATGGCTAGTAGCCAGAGCCTGAAAAGCTGCCACATTAAAGAGTATAGGTGAGTCCTGGAGGGTTTCAAAGTACAGTGCAATGCCCTCCCTCAGGGATAGTCCATGGCTCCCAGGATTCCTGAGATAGGACACAGTCTACTCTCTTTTTTTTTTTTTTTTTTTTTTGAGATGAAGTCTCGCTCTTGTCCCCCAGGCTGGAGTGCAATAGCGTGATCTTGGCTCACTGCAACCTCTGCCTCCCGGGTTCAAGCGATTCTCCTGCCTCAGCCTCCTGATTAGCTGGGATTATAGGATTACAGGTATGCGCCACCAAGCCCAGCTAATTTTTGTATTTTTAGTAGAGACAGGGTTTCACCATGTTGGCCAGGCTGGTCTTGAACTCCTGACCTCAGGTGATCCACCCACTTGGGCCTCCCAAAGTGCTGGGATTACAGGCGTGAGCCACCGTGCCCGACCGGATATAGTCTACTCTTTTAAGCAGTAAGAGGAAGCAATAAGAGGAAGAAGACACCCCACTGAATATCCTGGGGCATGAGTGTGGTTGCCTGGTTAGCTACCCACCCCCACCCCAGGCTAGGTTACTGAGACTCCACCGAGGGAGGATCTCAGAGAAACAGAGCCCTGCCCCTTTACTCTCCCCACACCTGCAGCCTGTGTCAGCTCCTGAACTGCTAAGAACATATCCTAGGAACATAGGTGCCTTTGTCTTCGCCAGGAACTCAGTCCCTGTGGCAGGTGGCGGTGGGGAGAGTAATATGAGACCCCAGACCCTTCAGGCAACAAGTCCTTGTCCAGCAAGAGAGCCAGGGAAGATTCCAGTGCAACACTTCCAAGAATGTCCTCACTGGCTGGACCTCTGTCTCCACTGCCCTGCCCGGAGCCAGGGTGGGGTGGACTGGATGAACTTTCAAGGTCATTTTCTGGCCATGATTCTATACAAAGAGAAGGGGGACAAGAAGAACTGCATGTGCATGTGAAGATGCTAAAATCCCAGGAGGATTAGGGTCCTTGAAGAGGTTCTACGCGTCTAGAGTTGCATTCGGCTGAGATTCTAGAATTCTATAGTTCGACAATTCCAAGATTTTAGAATCCTGTGATTCTAAGACTCTTACTTGATTAGGGGAAGGAAGACATCGTAGTCATCACATCCCCTTAATAAAATTCACGCCTCTGGGAAGAACCCCACACCCGTAACTCCAAAGCCAAGCAGGCTTGTTTTCCCCCTTTCTGCCTTTAAATTGTCTTTTCACTCTTTGGTGTCTGCTCATCTGCACACCCCCCTCCACAGTCCCTCCTCCAAGCCTGGCAGCCACACATTTGCCATCTACATATAACCCAGTGATTAGCACAGCAGAACAGAGAGGAGGGTGTGGAAGCCATGCTGCCTGCCAGTCGGACGGCCTTAAGTCGACCAGGCTGCAGCGAATCACCTCAGCTCCCTGAAAGGGCTGAGCAGGGAAGGGAAACGCACTCCTGCAGATTCAGACACACACACAGAGACACACAAAGGAGGGCCCCAGGCACACAGACACACAAAGAAACAGAGATGTGCACGCACACACAGACAGTGCAAACAGCACACGCCCACATGCGTACAGCACTCACACACATGCAAACAAACCAGAGACAGACACACAACCCCACAGTGACATACACCTGGACACGCAGGCATGCAGAAAAACAGAGAAAGACATGCACAGCACACGTGGATATTTGCGGTGCAACATAGACATACACACACACTCATATATAGCCACACAGCAAAACACACAATGCATGCATACACACTCAAATGT